>NC_000003.12:91722495-91891572 GCF_000001405.40 Homo sapiens
TCTTCGTATGCAAACTAGACAGAATCATTCTCAGAAACTACTTTGGTACGTGTGTGTTCAACTCACAGTGTTTAACCTTTCTTTTCATAGAGCAGTTTGGAAACACTCAGTTTGTAAAGTCAGCAACTGGATATTTGGATGTATTTGAGGCCTTCGTTGGAAACGGGATTTCTTCATATAATGCTAGACAGAAGAATTCTCAGTAACTTCTTTGGGTTGTGGGCATTCAAGTCACAGAGTTGAAGCTTCCTTTAGGCGGAGCAGATTGGAAACACTTTTTGTGGAATTTTCAGGGGGAGACTTCAAGCGCTTTGAAGTGAATGGTAGAAAAGGAAATATCTTCGTATAAAAACTAGACGGAGTCATTCTCAGAAACTACTTTGTGATGTTTGCGTTCAACTCACAGAGTTTAACGTTTCTTTTCATAGAGCAGTTTGGAAACACTCTTTTTGCAGAATCTGCAAGTGGATATTTGGACCTCTTTGTGGCCTTCGTTGGAAACGGGATTTTTCATATAATGCTAGACAGAAGAATTCTCAGTAACTTCTTTTTGTGGTGTGTATTCAACTCACAGAGTTGAACCTTCCTTTAGACAGAGCAGATTTGAAACTCTCTTTTTGTGGAATTTGCAAGTGGAGATTTCAAGCGCTTTGAGGCCAACGGCAGAAAAGGAAATATCTTCGTAGAAAAAATAGACGGAATCATTCTCAGAAACTGCTTTGGGATGTGTGCATTGAACTCACAGTGTTTAACACTTCTTTTCATAGAGCACTTTGGAAACACTCAGTTTGTAATGTCTGCAGCTGGATATTTGGACCTCTTTGAGGCCTTCGTAGTAAACGGGATTTCTTCGTGTAATGATAGACAATAGAATTCTCAGTGAATTTTTTTCTGTGTGTGTGTATTCAACTCACAGGGTTGAACCTTCCTTTAGACAGTGCAGATTTGAAACACTTGTCTGTGGAATTTGCAAGGGGAGATTTCAAGCACTTTGAGGCCATTGGTGGAAAAGGAAATATCTTCGTATGAAAACTAGACAGAATCATTCTCAGGAACTACTTTGTGATATGTGCATTCAACTCACAGAGTTTAACCTTTCTTTTCATAGATGAGTTTGGAAACAGTCAGTTTGTAAATTCTGCAACTGGATATTTGGACCTCTTTGAGGCTTTCGTTGGAAACGGGATTTCTTCACATAATGCTAGACAGAAGAATTCTCAGTAACTTCTTTTGGGATGTATGTATTCAAATCAGAGAGTTGAACCTTCCTTTAGACAGAGCGGATTGGAAACACTCTTTTTGTGGAATTTGCAAGTGGAAAATTCTAGCAATATGAGGCCAATGGTACAAAAGGAAATATCTTCGTATAAAAACTAGACAGTATCATTCTCAGAAACTGCTTTGTGATGTGTGTATTAAACTCACAGAGTTGAACATTTCTTTGCATAGAGCAGTTTGGAAAGACTTAGTTTGTGCAGTGTGCAAGTGGATATTTGGAACTCTTTGAGGCCTTCGTTGGAAACGGGATTTCTTCTTATAATTCTTGACAAAAGAATTCTCAGTAGCTTCTTTGTGTGTGTGTATTCAACTCACAGAGTTGAACCTTCCTTTAGACAGAGCAGATTGGAAACACTCTTTTTGTGGAATTTGCAAGTGGAGAATTCTAGCGCTTTGACGCCAATGGTAGAAAGGAAATATCTTCGTATAAAAACTAGACAGTATCATTCTCAGAAGCTACTTTGTGATGTGTGCGTTCAACTCACAGAGTTTAACCTTCCTTTTCATAGAGCAGTTTGGAAACCCTCTGTTTGTGAAGTCTGCAAGTGGATATTTAAACGTCTTTGAGGCCTTCGTTGGAAACGGGATTTCTTCATATAAACCAGGACAGAAGAATTCTCAGAAACTTCTTGATTGTTATGTGTGCATTCAACTCACAGAGTTGAACCTTACTTTGGAAAGAGCAGTTTTCTAACACTCTTTTTGTAAAAGTTCCAAGTGAATACTTTGAGTGCTTTGAAGCCTACGGTTGACAACGAAATATCTTCATGTAAAAACTACAAAGAATCATTCGCAGAAACCACGTTGTGATCTCTGCATTCAACTCACAGAGTTGAACCTTTCTTCCTATAGAGCAGTTATGAAACAGTCTCTTTGTAGAATTTGCAAGGGTGTATTTAGAGGGCATTGAAGCCTACGGTAGAAAAGGAAATATCTTACCATAAAATCTAGTCAGAAGCATTCTCAGAAACTGAGTTGTGATGTTTGCATTCAACTCACAGAGTTCAACATTCCTTTTAATGGAGCGGTTTTGAAACACTCTTTTTGCAGAATCTGCAAGTGGATATTTGGACCTCTTTGAGGCCTTCGTTGGAAACGGGATTTCTTCATGTAATGCCAGACAGAAGAATTCTCAGTGAATTCTTTCTGTGTGTGTGTATTCAACTCACAGAGTTGAACGTTCCTTTAGACAGAGTAGATTGGAAACACTCTTTTTGTGGAATTTTCAGGTGGAGGTATCAAGCGCTTTGAGGCCAATGATAGAAAAGGAAATACCTTCGTATAATAATTAGACGGAATCATTCTCAGAAACTGCTTTGCAATGTGTGCGTTCAACTCACAGTGTTTAACCTTTCTTTTCATACAGTTGTTTCGAAACACTCTTTTTGCAGAATCTGCAGGTGGATATTTGGACCTCTTTGAAGTCTTCGTTGGAAATGGGATTTCTTCATATAATGCTAGACAGAAGACTTCTCAGTAACTGCTTTTTCTGGTGTGTATTCAACTCTCAGAGTTGAACTTTCCTTTAGAAACAGCAGATTTGAAACTCTCTTTTTGTGGAATTTGCAAGTGGAGATTTCAGAGCTTTGAGGCCAATGGTAGAAAAGGAAATATCTTCGTATGCAAACTAGACAGAATCATTCTCAGAAACTACTTTGGTACGTGTGTGTTCAACTCACAGTGTTTAACCTTTCTTTTCATAGAGCAGTTTGGAAACACTCAGTTTGTAAAGTCAGCAACTGGATATTTGGATGTATTTGAGGCCTTCGTTGGAAACGGGATTTCTTCATATAATGCTAGACAGAAGAATTCTCAGTAACTTCTTTGGGTTGTGGGTATTCAAGTCACAGAGTTGAAGCTTCCTTTAGGCGGAGCAGATTGGAAACACTTTTTGTGGAATTTTCAGGGGGAGACTTCAAGCGCTTTGAAGTGAATGGTAGGAAAGGAAATATCTTCGTATAAAAACTAGACGGAGTCATTCTCAGAAACTACTTTGTGATGTTTGCGTTCAACTCACAGAGTTTAACGTTTCTTTTCATAGAGCAGTTTGGAAACACTCTTTTTGCAGAATCTGCAAGTGGATATTTGGACCTCTTTGTGGCCTTCGTTGGAAACGGGATTTTTCATATAATGCTAGACAGAAGAATTCTCAGTAACTTCTTTTTGTGGTGTGTATTCAACTCACAGAGTTGAACCTTCCTTTAGACAGAGCAGATTTGAAACTCTCTTTTTGTGGAATTTGCAAGTGGAGATTTCAAGCGCTTTGAGGCCAACGGCAGAAAAGGAAATATCTTCGTAGAAAAAATAGACGGAATCATTCTCAGAAACTGCTTTGGGATGTGTGCATTGAACTCACAGTGTTTAACACTTCTTTTCATAGAGCACTTTGGAAACACTCAGTTTGTAATGTCTGCAGCTGGATATTTGGACCTCTTTGAGGCCTTCGTAGTAAACGGGATTTCTTCGTGTAATGATAGACAATAGAATTCTCAGTGAATTTTTTTCTGTGTGTGTGTATTCAACTCACAGGGTTGAACCTTCCTTTAGACAGTGTAGATTTGAAACACTTGTCTGTGGAATTTGCAAGGGGAGATTTCAAGCACTTTGAGGCCATTGGTGGAAAAGGAAATATCTTCGTATAAAAACTAGACAGAATCATTCTCAGGAACTACTTTGTGATATGTGCATTCAACTCCCAGAGTTTAACCTTTCTTTTCATAGATGAGTTTGGAAACAGTCAGTTTGTAAATTCTGCAACTGGATATTTGGACCTCTTTGAGGCTTTCGTTGGAAACGGGATTTCTTCACATAATGCTAGACAGAAGAATTCTCAGTAACTTCTTTTGGGATGTATGTATTCAAATCAGAGAGTTGAACCTTCCTTTAGACAGAGCGGATTGGAAACACTCTTTTTGTGGAATTTGCAAGTGGAAAATTCTAGCAGTATGAGGCCAATGGTACAAAAGGAAATATCTTCGTATAAAAACTAGACAGTATCATTCTCAGAAACTGCTTTGTGATGTGTGTATTAAACTCACATAGTTGAACATTTCTTTGCATAGAGCAGTTTGGAAAGACTTAGTTTGTGCAGTGTGCAAGTGGATATTTGGAACTCTTTGAGGCCTTCGTTGGAAACGGGATTTCTTCTTATAATTCTTGACAAAAGAATTCTCAGTAGCTTCTTTGTGTGTGTGTATTCAACTCACAGAGTTGAACCTTCCTTGAGACAGAGCAGATTGGAAACACTCTTTTTGTGGAATTTGCAAGTGGAGAATTCTAGCGCTTTGACGCCAATGGTAGAAAGGAAATATCTTCGTATAAAAACTAGACAGTATCATTCTCAGAAACTACTTTGTGATGTGTGCGTTCAACTCACAGAGTTTAACCTTTCTTTTCATAGAGCAGTTTGGAAACACTCTGTTTGTGAAGTCTGCAAGTGGATATTTAAACGTCTTTGAGGCCTTCGTTGGAAACGGGATTTTTTCATATAAACCAGGACAGAAGAATTCTCAGAAACTTCTTGATTGTTATGGGTGCATTCAACTCACAGAGTTGAACCTTACTTTGGAAAGAGCAGTTTTCTAACACTCTTTTTGTAAAAGTTCCAAGTGAATACTTTGAGTGCTTTGAAGCCTACGGTTGACAACGAAATATCTTCATGTAAAAACTACAAAGAATCATTCGCAGAAACCACGTTGTGATCTCTGCATTCAACTCACAGAGTTGAACCTTTCTTCCTATAGAGCAGTTATGAAACAGTCTCTTTGTAGAATTTGCAAGGGTGTATTTAGAGGGCATTGAAGCCTACGGTAGAAAAGGAAATATCTTACCATAAAATCTAGTCAGAAGCATTCTCAGAAACTGAGTTGTGATGTTTGCATTCAACTCACAGAGTTCAACATTCCTTTAAATGGAGCGGTTTTGAAACACTCTTTTTGCAGAATCTGCAAGTGGATATTTGGACCTCTTTGAGGCCTTCGTTGGAAACGGGATTTCTTCATGTAATGCCAGACAGAAGAATTCTCAGTGAATTCTTTCTGTGTGTGTGTATTCAACTCACAGAGTTGAACGTTCCTTTAGACAGAGTAGATTGGAAACACTCTTTTTGTGGAATTTTCAGGTGGAGGTATCAAGCGCTTTGAGGCCAATGATAGAAAAGGAAATACCTTCGTATAATAATTAGACGGAATCATTCTCAGAAACTGCTTTGCAATGTGTGCGTTCAACTCACAGTGTTTAACCTTTCTTTTCATACAGTTGTTTCGAAACACTCTTTTTGCAGAATCTGCAAGTGGATATTTGGACCTCTTTGAAGTCTTCGTTGGAAATGGGATTTCTTCATATAATGCTAGACAGAAGACTTCTCAGTAACTGCTTTTTCTGGTGTGTATTCAACTCTCAGAGTTGAACTTTCCTTTAGAAACAGCAGATTTGAAACTCTCTTTTTGTGGAATTTGCAAGTGGAGATTTCAGAGCTTTGAGGCCAATGGTAGAAAAGGAAATATCTTCGTATGCAAACTAGACAGAATCATTCTCAGAAACTACTTCGGTACGTGTGTGTTCAACTCACAGTGTTTAACCTTTCTTTTCATAGAGCAGTTTGGAAACACTCAGTTTGTAAAGTCAGCAACTGGATATTTGGATGTATTTGAGGCCTTCGTTGGAAACGGGATTTCTTCATATAATGCTAGACAGAAGAATTCTCAGTAACTTCTTTGGGTTGTGGGTATTCAAGTCACAGAGTTGAAGCTTCCTTTAGGCGGAGCAGATTGGAAACACTTTTTGTGGAATTTTCAGGGGGAGACTTCAAGCGCTTTGAAGTGAATGGTAGGAAAGGAAATATCTTCGTATAAAAACTAGACGGAGTCATTCTCAGAAACTACTTTGTGATGTTTGCGTTCAACTCACAGAGTTTAACGTTTCTTTTCATAGAGCAGTTTGGAAACACTCTTTTTGCAGAATCTGCAAGTGGATATTTGGACCTCTTTGTGGCCTTCGTTGGAAACGGGATTTTTCATATAATGCTAGACAGAAGAATTCTCAGTAACTTCTTTTTGTGGTGTGTATTCAACTCACAGAGTTGAACCTTCCTTTAGACAGAGCAGATTTGAAACTCTCTTTTTGTGGAATTTGCAAGTGGAGATTTCAAGCGCTTTGAGGCCAACGGCAGAAAAGGAAATATCTTCGTAGAAAAAATAGACGGAATCATTCTCAGAAACTGCTTTGGGATGTGTGCATTGAACTCACAGTGTTTAACACTTCTTTTCATAGAGCACTTTGGAAACACTCAGGTTGTAATGTCTGCAGCTGGATATTTGGACCTCTTTGAGGCCTTCGTAGTAAACGGGATTTCTTCGTGTAATGATAGACAATAGAATTCTCAGTGAATTTTTTTCTGTGTGTGTGTATTCAACTCACAGGGTTGAACCTTCCTTTAGACAGTGCAGATTTGAAACACTTGTCTGTGGAATTTGCAAGGGGAGATTTCAAGCACTTTGAGGCCATTGGTGGAAAAGGAAATATCTTCGTATGAAAACTAGACAGAATCATTCTCAGGAACTACTTTGTGATATGTGCATTCAACTCCCAGAGTTTAACCTTTCTTTTCATAGATGAGTTTGGAAACAGTCAGTTTGTAAATTCTGCAACTGGATATTTGGACCTCTTTGAGGCTTTCGTTGGAAACGGGATTTCTTCACATAATGCTAGACAGAAGAATTCTCAGTAACTTCTTTTGGGATGTATGTATTCAAATCAGAGAGTTGAACCTTCCTTTAGACAGAGCGGATTGGAAACACTCTTTTTGTGGAATTTGCAAGTGGAAAATTCTAGCAGTATGAGGCCAATGGTACAAAAGGAAATATCTTCGTATAAAAACTAGACAGTATCATTCTCAGAAACTGCTTTGTGATGTGTGTATTAAACTCACAGAGTTGAACATTTCTTTGCATAGAGCAGTTTGGAAAGACTTAGTTTGTGCAGTGTGCAAGTGGATATTTGGAACTCTTTGAGGCCTTCGTTGGAAACGGGATTTCTTCTTATAATTCTTGACAAAAGAATTCTCAGTAGCTTCTTTGTGTGTGTGTATTCAACTCACAGAGTTGAACCTTCCTTTAGACAGAGCAGATTGGAAACACTCTTTTTGTGGAATTTGCAAGTGGAGAATTCTAGCGCTTTGACGCCAATGGTAGAAAGGAAATATACTTCGTATAAAAACTAGACAGTATCATTCTCAGTAAGCTACTTTGTGATGTGTGCGTTCAACTCACAGAGTTTAACCTTTCTTTTCATAGAGCAGTTTGGAAACCCTCTGTTTGTGAAGTCTGCAAGTGGATATTTAAACGTCTTTGAGGCCTTCGTTGGAAACGGGATTTCTTCATATAAACCAGGACAGAAGAATTCTCAGAAACTTCTTGATTGTTATGTGTGCATTCAACTCACAGAGTTGAACCTTACTTTGGAAAGAGCAGTTTTCTAACACTCTTTTTGTAAAAGTTCCAAGTGAATACTTTGAGTGCTTTGAAGCCTACGGTTGAGAACGAAATATCTTCATGTAAAATCTACAAAGAATCATTCGCAGAAACCACGTTGTGATCTCTGCATTCAACTCACAGAGTTGAACCTTTCTTCCTATAGAGCAGTTATGAAACAGTCTCTTTGTAGAATTTGCAAGGGTGTATTTAGAGGGCATTGAAGCCTACGGTAGAAAAGGAAATATCTTACCATAAAATCTAGTCAGAAGCATTCTCAGCAACTGAGTTGTGATGTTTGCATTCAACTCACAGAGTTCAACATTCCTTTTAATGGGAGCGGTTTTGAAACACTCTTTTTGCAGAATCTGCAAGTGGATATTTGGACCTCTTTGAGGCCTTCGTTGGAAACGGGATTTCTTCATGTAATGCCAGACAGAAGAATTCTCAGTGAATTCTTTCTGTGTGTGTGTATTCAACTCACAGAGTTGAACGTTCCTTTAGACAGAGTAGATTGGAAACACTCTTTTTGTGGAATTTTCAGGTGGAGGTATCAAGCGCTTTGAGGCCAATGATAGAAAAGGAAATACCTTCGTATAATAATTAGACGGAATCATTCTCAGAAACTGCTCTGCAATGTGTGCGTTCAACTCACAGTGTTTAACCTTTCTTTTCATACAGTTGTTTCGAAACACTCTTTTTGCAGAATCTGCAAGTGGATATTTGGACCTCTTTGAAGTCTTCGTTGGAAATGGGATTTCTTCATATAATGCTAGACAGAAGACTTCTCAGTAACTGCTTTTTCTGGTGTGTATTCAACTCTCAGAGTTGAACTTTCCTTTAGAATCAGCAGAGTTGAAACTCTCTTTTTGTGGAATTTGCAAGTGGAGATTTCAAAGCTTTGAGGCCAATGGTAGAAAAGGAAATATCTTCGTATGCAAACTAGACAGAATCATTCTCAGAAACTACTTTGGTACGTGTGTGTTCAACTCACAGTGTTTAACCTTTCTTTTCATAGAGCAGTTTGGAAACACTCAGTTTGTAAAGTCAGCAACTGGATATTTGGATGTATTTGAGGCCTTCGTTGGAAACGGGATTTCTTCATATAATGCTAGACAGAAGAATTCTCAGTAACTTCTTTGGGTTGTGGGTATTCAACTCACAGAGTTGAAGCTTCCTTTAGGCGGAGCAGATTGGAAACACTTTTTGTGGAATTTTCAGGGGGAGACTTCAAGCGCTTTGAAGTGAATGGTAGGAAAGGAAATATCTTCGTATAAAAACTAGACGGAGTCATTCTCAGAAACTACTTTGTGATGTTTGCGTTCAACTCACAGAGTTTAACGTTTCTTTTCATAGAGCAGTTTGGAAACACTCTTTTTGCAGAATCTGCAAGTGGATATTTGGACCTCTTTGTGGCCTTCGTTGGAAACGGGATTTTTCATATAATGCTAGACAGAAGAATTCTCAGTAACTTCTTTTTGTGGTGTGTATTCAACTCACAGAGTTGAACCTTCCTTTAGACAGAGCAGATTTGAAACTCTCTTTTTGTGGAATTTGCAAGTGGAGATTTCAAGCGCTTTGAGGCCAACGGCAGAAAAGGAAATATCTTCGTAGAAAAAATAGACGGAATCATTCTCAGAAACTGCTTTGGGATGTGTGCATTGAACTCACAGTGTTTAACACTTCTTTTCATAGAGCACTTTGGAAACACTCAGTTTGTAATGTCTGCAGCTGGATATTTGGACCTCTTTGAGGCCTTCGTAGTAAACGGGATTTCTTCGTGTAATGATAGACAATAGAATTCTCAGTGAATTTTTTTCTGTGTGTGTGTATTCAACTCACAGGGTTGAACCATCCTTTAGACAGTGCAGATTTGAAACACTTGTCTGTGGAATTTGCAAGGGGAGATTTCAAGCACTTTGAGGCCATTGGTGGAAAAGGAAATATCTTCGTATGAAAACTATACAGAATCATTCTCAGGAACTACTTTGTGATATGCGCATTCAACTCACAGAGTTTAACATTTCTTTTCATAGATGAGTTGGAAACAGTCAGTTTGTAAATGCTGCAACTGGATATTTGGGCCTCTTTGAGGCTTTTGTTGGAAACGGGATTTCTTCACATAATGCTAGACAGAAGAATTCTCAGTAACTTCTTTTGGGATGTATGTATTCAAATCAGAGAGTTGAACCTTCCTTTAGACAGAGCGGATTGGAAACACTCTTTTTGTGGAATTTGCAAGTGGAAAATTCTAGCAGTATGAGGCCAATGGTACAAAAGGAAATATCTTCGTATAAAAACTAGACAGTATCATTCTCAGAAACTGCTTTGTGATGTGTGTATTAAACTCACAGAGTTGAACATTTCTTTGCATAGAGCAGTTTGGAAAGACTTAGTTTGTGCAGTGTGCAAGTGGATATTTGGAACTCTTTGAGGCCTTCGTTGGAAACGGGATTTCTTCTTATAATTTCTTGAAAAAAGAAATCTCAGTAGCTTCTTTGTGTGTGTGTATTCAACTCACAGAGTTGAACCTTCCTTTAGACAGAGCAGATTGGAAACACTCTTTTTGTGGAATTTGCAAGTGGAGAATTCTAGCGCTTTGACGCCAATGGTAGAAAGGAAATATCTTCGTATAAATACTAGACAGTATCATTCTCAGAAGCTACTTTGTGATGTGTGCGTTCAACTCACAGAGTTTAACCTTTCTTTTCATAGAGCAGTTTGGAAACCCTCTGTTTGTGAAGTCTGCAAGTGGATATTTAAACGTCTTTGAGGCCTTCGTTGGAAACGGGATTTTTTCATATAAACCAGGACAGAAGAATTCTCAGAAACTTCTTGATTGTTATGTGTGCATTCAACTCACAGAGTTGAACCTTACTTTGGAAAGAGCAGTTTTCTAACACTCTTTTTGTAAAAGTTCCAAGTGAATACTTTGAGTGCTTTGAAGCCTACGGTTGACAACGAAATATCTTCATGTAAAAACTACAAAGAATCATTCGCAGAAACCACGTTGTGATCTCTGCAGTCAACTCACAGAGTTCAACCTTTCTTCCTATAGAGCAGTTATGAAACAGTCTCTTTGTAGAATTTGCAAGGGTGTATTTAGAGGGCATTGAAGCCTACGGTAGAAAAGGAAATATCTTACCATAAAATCTAGTCAGAAGCATTCTCAGAAACTGAGTTGTGATGTTTGCATTCAACTCACAGAGTTCAACATTCCTTTTAATGGAGCGGTTTTGAAACATTCTTTTTGCAGAATCTGCAAGTGGATATTTGGACCTCTTTGAGGCCTTCGTTGGAAACGGGATTTCTTCATGTAATGCCAGACAGAAGAATTCTCAGTGAATTCTTTCTGTGTGTGTGTATTCAACTCACAGAGTTGAACGTTCCTTTAGACAGAGTAGATTGGAAACACTCTTTTTGTGGAATTTTCAGGTGGAGGTATCAAGCGCTTTGAGGCCAATGATAGAAAAGGAAATACCTTCGTATAATAATTAGACGGAATCATTCTCAGAAACCGCTTTGCAATGTGTGCGTTCAACTCACAGTGTTTAACCTTTCTTTTCATACAGTTGTTTCGAAACACTCTTTTTGCAGAATCTGCAAGTGGATATTTGGACCTCTTTGAAGTCTTCGTTGGAAATGGGATTTCTTCATATAATGCTAGACAGAAGACTTCTCAGTAACTGCTTTTTCTGGTGTGTATTCAACTCTCAGAGTTGAACTTTCCTTTAGAAACAGCAGATTTGAAACTCTCTTTTTGTGGAATTTGCAAGTGGAGATTTCAGAGCTTTGAGGCCACTGGTAGAAAAGGAAATATCTTCGTATGCAAACTAGACAGAATCATTCTCAGAAACTACTTTGGTACGTGTGTGTTCAACTCACAGTGTTTAACCTTTCTTTTCATAGAGCAGTTTGGAAACACTCAGTTTGTAAAGTCAGCAACTGGATATTTGGATGTATTTGAGGCCTTCGTTGGAAACGGGATTTCTTCATATAATGCTAGACAGAAGAATTCTCAGTAACTTCTTTGGGTTGTGGGTATTCAACTCACAGAGTTGAAGCTTCCTTTAGGCGGAGCAGATTGGAAACACTTTTTGTGGAATTTTCAGGGGGAGACTTCAAGCGCTTTGAAGTGAATGGTAGGAAAGGAAATATCTTCGTATAAAAACTAGACGGAGTCATTCTCAGAAACTACTTTGTGATGTTTGCGTTCAACTCACAGAGTTTAACGTTTCTTTTCATAGAGCAGTTTGGAAACACTCTTTTTGCAGAATCTGCAAGTGGATATTTGGACCTCTTTGAGGCCTTCGTTGGAAACGGGATTTCTTCATGTAATGCCAGACAGAAGAATTCTCAGTGAATTCTTTCTGTGTGTGTGTATTCAACTCACAGAGTTGAACGTTCCTTTAGACAGAGTAGATTGGAAACACTCTTTTTGTGGAATTTTCAGGTGGAGGTATCAAGCGCTTTGAGGCCAATGATAGAAAAGGAAATACCTTCGTATAATAATTAGACGGAATCATTCTCAGAAACTGCTTTGCAATGTGTGCGTTCAACTCACAGTGTTTAACCTTTCTTTTCATACAGTTGTTTCGAAACACTCTTTTTGCAGAATCTTCAAGTGGATATTTTTTTGGACTTCTTTGAAGTCTTCGTTGGAAAAAGGATTTCTTCATTTAATGCTGGACAGAAGAATTCTCAGTAACTGCTTTTTCTGGTGTGTATTCAACTCACAGAGTTGAACCTTCCTTTAGACAGAGCAGATTTGAAACTCTCTTTTTGTGGTATTTGCAAGTGGAGAATTCAAGTGCTTTGAGGCCAACGGTAGAAAAGGAAATATCTTCGTAGAAAAAATAGACGGAATCATTCTCAGAAACTGCTTTGGGATGTGTGCATTGAACTCACAGTGTTTAACACTTCTTTTCATAGAGCACTTTGGAAACACTCAGTTTGTATTGTCTGCAACTGGATATTTGGACCTCTTTGAGGCATTCGTAGTAAACGGGATTTCTTCGTGTAATGATAGACAGTAGAATTCTCAGTGAATTTTTTTTGTGTGTGTGTATTCAACTCACAGGTTTGAACCTTCCTTTAGACAGTGCAGATTTGAAACACTTTTGTGGAATTTGCAAGGGGAGATTTCAAGCACCTTGAGGGCAGTGGTGGAAAAGGAAATATCTTCGTATAAAAACTAGACAGAATCATTCTCAGGAACTACTTTGTGATATGTGCATTCAACTCACAGTTTAACCTTTCTTTTCATAGATGAGTTTGGAAACAGTCAGTTTGTAAATTCTGCAACTGGATATTTGGACCTCTTTGAGGCTTTCGTTGGAAACGGGATTTCTTCACATAATGCTAGACAGAAGAATTCTCAGTAACTTCTTATGGGTTGTGTGTATTTAACTCAGAGAGTTGAACCTTCCTTTAGACAGAGCAGATTGGAAACACGCTTTTTGCAGAATTTTCAGGTGGAGATTTCAAGAGCCTTGAGGTCAATGGTAGAACACGGCTATCTTCGTATAAAAACTAGATGGAATCATTCTCAGAAACTACTTTGTGATGTGTGCGTTCAACTCACAGAGTTTAACCTTTGTTTTCATAGAGCAGTTTGGAAACACTCTGTTTGTGAAGTCTGCAAGTGGATATTTAAACGCCTTTGAGGCCTTCGTTGGAAACGGGATTTTTTCATATAAACCAGGACAGAAGAATTCTCAGAAACTTCTTGATTGTTATGTGTGCATTCAACTCACAGAGTTGAACCTTACTTTGGAAAGAGCAGTTTTCTAACACTCTTTTTGTAAAAGTTCCAAGTGAATACTTTGAGTGCTTTGAAGCCTACGGTTGACAACGAAATATCTTCATGTAAAAACTACAAAGAATCATTCGCAGAAACCACGTTGTGATCTCTGCATTCAACTCACAGAGTTGAACCTTTCTTCCTATAGAGCAGTTATGAAACAGTCTCTTTGTAGAATTTGCAAGGGTGTATTTAGAGGGCATTGAAGCCTACGGTAGAAAAAGAAATATCTTACCATAAAATCTAGTCAGAAGCATTCTCAGCAACTGAGTTGTGATGTTTGCATTCAACTCACAGAGTTCAACATTCCTTTTAATGGAGCGGTTTTGAAACACTCTTTTTGCAGAATCTGCAAGTGGATATTTGGACCTCTTTGAGGCCTTCGTTGGAAACGGGATTTCTTCATGTAATGCCAGACAGAAGAATTCTCAGTGAATTCTTTCTGTGTGTGTGTATTCAACTCACAGAGTTGAACGTTCCTTTAGACAGAGTAGATTGGAAACACTCTTTTTGTGGAATTTTCAGGTGGAGGTATCAAGCGCTTTGAGGCCAATGATAGAAAAGGAAATACCTTCGTATAATAATTAGACGGAATCATTCTCAGAAACTGCTTTGCAATGTGTGCGTTCAACTCACAGTGTTTAACCTTTCTTTTCATACAGTTGTTTCGAAACACTCTTTTTGCAGAATCTGCAAGTGGATATTTGGACCTCTTTGAAGTCTTCGTTGGAAATGGGATTTCTTCATATAATGCTAGACAGAAGACTTCTCAGTAACTGCTTTTTCTGGTGTGTATTCAACTCTCAGAGTTGAACTTTCCTTTAGAAACAGCAGATTTGAAACTCTCTTTTTGTGGAATTTGCAAGTGGAGATTTCAGAGCTTTGAGGCCAATGGTAGAAAAGGAAATATCTTCGTATGCAAACTAGACAGAATCATTCTCAGAAACTACTTTGGTACGTGTGTGTTCAACTCACAGTGTTTAACCTTTCTTTTCATAGAGCAGTTTGGAAACACTCAGTTTGTAAAGTCAGCAACTGGATATTTGGATGTATTTGAGGCCTTCGTTGGAAACGGGATTTCTTCATATAGTGCTAGACAGAAGAATTCTCAGTAACTTCTTTGGGTTGTGGGTATTCAAGTCACAGAGTTGAAGCTTCCTTTAGGCGGAGCAGATTGGAAACACTTTTTGTGGAATTTTCAGGGGGAGACTTCAAGCGCTTTGAAGTGAATGGTAGGAAAGGAAATATCTTCGTATAAAAACTAGACGGAGTCATTCTCAGAAACTACTTTGTGATGTTTGCGTTCAACTCACAGAGTTTAACGTTTCTTTTCATAGAGCAGTTTGGAAACACTCTTTTTGCAGAATCTGCAAGTGGATATTTGGACCTCTTTGTGGCCTTCGTTGGAAACGGGATTTTTCATATAATGCTAGACAGAAGAATTCTCAGTAACTTCTTTTTGTGGTGTGTATTCAACTCACAGAGTTGAACCTTCCTTTAGACAGAGCAGATTTGAAACTCTCTTTTTGTGGAATTTGCAAGTGGAGATTTCAAGCGCTTTGAGGCCAACGGCAGAAAAGGAAATATCTTCGTAGAAAAAATAGACGGAATCATTCTCAGAAACTGCTTTGGGATGTGTGCATTGAACTCACAGTGTTTAACACTTCTTTTCATAGAGCACTTTGGAAACACTCAGTTTGTAATGTCTGCAGCTGGATATTTGGACCTCTTTGAGGCCTTCGTAGTAATCGGGATTTCTTCGTGTAATGATAGACAATAGAATTCTCAGTGAATTTTTTTCTGTGTGTGTGTATTCAACTCTCAGGGTTGAACCTTCCTTTAGACAGTGCAGATTTGAAACACTTGTCTGTGGAATTTGCAAGGGGAGATTTCAAGCACTTTGAGGCCATTGGTGGAAAAGGAAATATCTTCGTATAAAAACTAGACAGAATGCATTCTCAGAGAACTATCTTTGTGATGTGTGCATTCAACTCACAGAGTTTAACCTTTCTTTTCATAGATGAGTTTGGAAACAGTCAGTTTGTAAATGCTGCAACTGGATATTTGGGCCTCTTTGAGGCTTTCGTTGGAAACGGGATTTCTTCACATAATGCTAGACAGATGAATTCTCAGTAACTTCTTTTGGGATGTATGTATTCAAATCAGAGAGTTGAACCTTCCTTTAGACAGAGCGGATTGGAAACACTCTTTTTGTGGAATTTGCAAGTGGAAAATTCTAGCAGTATGAGGCCAATGGTACAAAAGGAAATATCTTCGTATAAAAACTAGACAGTATCATTCTCAGAAACTGCTTTGTGATGTGTGTATTAAACTCACAGAGTTCAACATTTCTTTGCATAGAGCAGTTTGGAAAGACTTAGTTTGTGCAGTGTGCAAGTGGATATTTGGAACTCTTTGAGGCCTTCGTTGGAAACGGGATTTCTTCTTATAATTCTTGACAAAAGAATTCTCAGTAGCTTCTTTGTGTGTGTGTATTCAACTCACAGAGTTGAACCTTCCTTTAGACAGAGCAGATTGGAAACACTCTTTTTGTGGAATTTGCAAGTGGAGAATTCTAGCGCTTTGACGCCAATGGTAGAAAGGAAATATCTTCGTATAAAAACTAGACAGTATCATTCTCAGAAGCTACTTTGTGATGTGTGCGTTCAACTCACAGAGTTTAACCTTTCTTTTCATAGAGCAGTTTGGAAACCCTCTGTTTGTGAAGTCTGCAAGTGGATATTTAAACGTCTTTGAGGCCTTCGTTGGAAACGGGATTTTTTCATATAAACCAGGACAGAAGAATTCTCAGAAACTTCTTGATTGTTATGGGTGCATTCAACTCACAGAGTTGAACCTTACTTTGGAAAGAGCAGTTTTCTAACACTCTTTTTGTAAAAGTTCCAAGTGAATACTTTGAGTGCTTTGAAGCCTACGGTTGACAACGAAATATCTTCATGTAAAAACTACAAAGAATCATTCGCAGAAACCACGTTGTGATCTCTGCATTCAACTCACAGAGTTGAACCTTTCTTCCTATAGAGCAGTTATGAAACAGTCTCTTTGTAGAATTTGCAAGGGTGTATTTAGAGGGCATTGAAGCCTACGGTAGAAAAGGAAATATCTGACCATAAAATCTAGTCAGAAGCATTCTCAGAAACTGAGTTGTGATGTTTGCATTCAACTCACAGAGTTCAACATTCCTTTTAATGGAGCGGTTTTGAAACACTCTTTTTGCAGAATCTGCAAGTGGATATTTGGACCTCTTTGAGGCCTTCGTTGGAAACGGGATTTCTTCATGTAATGCCAGACAGAAGAATTCTCAGTGAATTCTTTCTGTGTGTGTGTATTCAACTCACAGAGTTGAACGTTCCTTTAGACAGAGTAGATTGGAAACACTCTTTTTGTGGAATTTTCAGGTGGAGGTATCAAGCGCTTTGAGGCCAATGATAGAAAAGGAAATACCTTCGTATAATAATTAGACGGAATCATTCTCAGAAACCGCTTTGCAATGTGTGCGTTCAACTCACAGTGTTTAACCTTTCTTTTCATACAGTTGTTTCGAAACACTCTTTTTGCAGAATCTGCAAGTGGATATTTGGACCTCTTTGAAGTCTTCGTTGGAAATGGGATTTCTTCATATAATGCTAGACAGAAGACTTCTCAGTAACTGCTTTTTCTGGTGTGTATTCAACTCTCAGAGTTGAACTTTCCTTTAGAAACAGCAGATTTGAAACTCTCTTTTTGTGGAATTTGCAAGTGGAGATTTCAGAGCTTTGAGGCCAATGGTAGAAAAGGAAATATCTTCGTATGCAAACTAGACAGAATCATTCTCAGAAACTACTTTGGTACGTGTGTGTTCAACTCACAGTGTTTAACCTTTCTTTTCATAGAGCAGTTTGGAAACACTCAGTTTGTAAAGTCAGCAACTGGATATTTGGATGTATTTGAGGCCTTCGTTGGAAACGGGATTTCTTCATATAATGCTAGACAGAAGAATTCTCAGTAACTTCTTTGGGTTGTGGGTATTCAAGTCACAGAGTTGAAGCTTCCTTTAGGCGGAGCAGATTGGAAACACTTTTTGTGGAATTTTCAGGGGGAGACTTCAAGCGCTTTGAAGTGAATGGTAGGAAAGGAAATATCTTCGTATAAAAACTAGACGGAGTCATTCTCAGAAACTACTTTGTGATGTTTGCGTTCAACTCACAGAGTTTAACGTTTCTTTTCATAGAGCAGTTTGGAAACACTCTTTTTGCAGAATCTGCAAGTGGATATTTGGACCTCTTTGTGGCCTTCGTTGGAAACGGGATTTTTCATATAATGCTAGACAGAAGAATTCTCAGTAACTTCTTTTTGTGGTGTGTATTCAACTCACAGAGTTGAACCTTCCTTTAGACAGAGCAGATTTGAAACTCTCTTTTTGTGGAATTTGCAAGTGGAGATTTCAAGCGCTTTGTGGCCAACGGTAGAAAAGGAAATATCTTCGTAGAAAAAATAGACGGAATCATTCTCAGAAACTGCTTTGGGATGTGTGCATTGAACTCACAGTGTTTAACACTTCTTTTCATAGAGCACTTTGGAAACACTCAGTTTGTAATGTCTGCAGCTGGATATTTGGACCTCTTTGAGGCCTTCGTAGTAAACGGGATTTCTTCGTGTAATGATAGACAATAGAATTCTCAGTGAATTTCTTTCTGTGTGTGTGTATTCAACTCACAGGGTTGAACCTTCCTTCAGACAGTGCAGATTTGAAACACTTTTCTGTGGAATTTGCAAGGGGAGATTTCAAGCACTTTGAGGCCATTGGTGGAAAAGGAAATATCTTCGTATAAAAACTAGACAGAATCATTCTCAGGAACTACTTTGTGATATGTGCATTCAACTCACAGGGTTTAACCTTTCTTTTCATAGATGAGTTTGGAAACAGTCAGTTTGTAAATTCTGCAACTGGATATTTGGACCTCTTTGAGGCTTTCGTTGGAAACGGGATTTCTTCACATAATGCTAGACAGAAGAATTCGCAGTAACTTCCTTTGGGATGTATGTATTGAACTCAGAGAGTTGAACCTTCCTTTAGACAGAGCGCATTGGAAACACGCTTTTTGCGGAATTTTCAGGTGGAGATTCCAAGAGCCTTGAGGCCAATGGTAGAAAAGGCTATCTTCGTATAAAAACTAGAGGGAATCATTCTCAGAAACTGCTTTGTGATGTGTGCATTAAACTCACAGGGTTGAACATTTCTTTGCATAGAGCAGTTTGGAAAGACTTAGTTTGTACAGTGTGCAAGTGGATATTTGGAACTCTTTGAGGCCTTCGTTGGAAACGGGATTTCTTCTTATAATTCTTGACAAAAGAATTCTCAGTAGCTTCTTTGTGTGTGTGTATTCAACTCACAGAGTTGAACCTGCCTTCAGGCAGAGCAGATTGGAAACCCTCTTTTTGTGGAATTTGCAAGTGGAGAATTCTAGCGCTTTGACGCCAATGGTAGGAAAGGAAATATCTTCGTATAAAAATTGGACAGTATCATTCTCAGAAACTACTTTGTGATGTGTGCGTTCAACTCACAGAGTTTATCCTTTCTTTTCATAGAGCAGTTTGGAAACACTCTGTTTGTGAAGTCTGCAAGTGGATATTTAAACGTCTTTGAGGCCTTCGTTGGAAACGGGATTTTTTCATATAAACCAGGACAGAAGAATTCTCAGAAACTTCTTGGTTGTTATGTGTGCATTCAACTCACAGAGTTGAACCTTACTTTGGAAAGAGCAGTTTTTGAACACTCTTTTTGTAAAAGTTCCAAGTGAATACTTTGAGTGCTTTGAAGCCTACGGTAGACAACGAAATATCTTCATGTAAAAACTACAAAGAATCATTCGCAGAAACCACGTTGTGATCTCTGCATTCAACTCACAGAGTTCAACCTTTCTTCCTATAGAGCAATTATTAAACAGTCTCTTTGTAGAATTTGCAAGGGTGTATTTAGAGGGCATTGAGGCCTACGGTAGAAAAGGAAATATCTGACCATAAAATCTAGTCAGAAGCATTCTCAGAAACTGAGTTGTGATGTTTGCATTCAACTCACAGAGTTCAACATTCCTTTTAATAGAGCGGTTTTGAAACACTCTTTTTGCAGAATCTGCAAGTGGATATTTGGACCTCTTTGAGGCCTTCGTTGGAAACGGGATTTCTTCATGTAATGCCAGACAGAAGAATTCTCAGTGAATTCTTTCTGTGTGTGTGTATTCAACTCACAGAGTTGAACGTTCCTTTAGACAGAGTAGATTGGAAACACTCTTTTTGTGGAATTTTCAGGTGGAGGTATCAAGCGCTTTGAGGTCAATGATAGAAAAGGAAATACCTTCGTATAATAATTAGACGGAATCATTCTCAGAAACTGCTTTGCAATGTGTGCGTTCAACTCACAGTGTTTAACATTTCTTTTCATACAGTTGTTTCGAAAAACTCTTTTTGCAGAATCTGCAAGTGGATATTTGGACCTCTTTGAAGTCTTCGTTGGAAATGGGATTTCTTCATATAATGCTAGACAGAAGACTTCTCAGTAACTGCTTTTTCTGGTGTGTATTCAACTCTCAGAGTTGAACTTTCCTTTACAAACAGCAGATTTGAAACTCTCTTTTTTTGGAATTTGCAAGTGGAGATTTCAAACTTTGAGGCCAATGGTAGAAAAGGAAATATCTTCGTATGCAAACTAGACAGAATCATTCTCAGAAACTACTTTGGTACGTGTGTGTTCAACCCACAGTGTTTAACCTTTCCTTTCATAGAGCAGTTTGGAAACACTCAGTTTGTAAAGTCAGCAACTGGATATCTGGATGTATTTGAGGCCTTCGTTGGAAACGGGATTTCTTCATGTAGTGCTAGACAGAAGAATTCTCAGTAACTTCTTTGGGTTGTGGGTATTCAACTCACAGAGCTGAAGCTTCCTTTAGGCGGAGCAGATTGGAAACACTTTTTGTGGAATTTTCAGGGGGAGACTTCAAGCGCTTTGAGGCCAACGGTAGAAAAGGAAATATCTTCGTATAAAAACTAGACGGAGTCATTCTCAGAAACTACTTTGTGATGTTTGCGTTCAACTCACAGAGTTTAACGTTTCTTTTCATAGAGCAGTTTGGAAACACTCTTTTTGCAGAATCTGCAAGTGGATATTTGGACTTCTTTGTGGCCTTCGTTGGAAACGGGATTTTTCATATAATGCTAGACAGAAGAATTCTCAGTAACTTCTTTTTGTGGTGTGTATTCAACTCACAGAGTTGAACCTTCCTTTAGACAGAGCAGATTTGAAACTCTCTTTTTGTGGAATTTGCAAGTGGAGATTTCAAGCGCTTTGAGGCCAACGGCAGAAAAGGAAATATCTTCGTAGAAAAAATAGACGGAATCATTCTCAGAAACTGCTTTGGGATGTGTGCATTGAACTCACAGTGTTTAACACTTCTTTTCATAGAGCACTTTGGAAACACTCAGTTTGTAATGTCTGCAGCTGGATATTTGGACCTCTTTGAGGCCTTCGTGGTAAACGGGATTTCTTCGTGTAATGATAGACAATAGAATTCTCAGTGAATTTTTTTCTGTGTGTGTGTATTCAACTCACAGGGTTGAACCTTCCTTTAGACAGTGCAGATTTGAAACACTTGTCTGTGGAATTTGCAAGGGGAGATTTCAAGCACTTTGAGGCCATTGGTGGAAAAGGAAATATCTTCGTATGAAAACTAGACAGAATCATTCTCAGGAACTACTTTGTGATATGTGCATTCAACTCCCAGAGTTTAACCTTTCTTTTCATAGATGAGTTTGGAAACAGTCAGTTTGTAAATTCTGCAACTGGATATTTGGACCTCTTTGAGGCTTTCGTTGGAAACGGGATTTCTTCACATAATGCTAGACAGAAGAATTCTCAGTAACTTCTTTTGGGATGTATGTATTCAAATCAGAGAGTTGAACCTTCCTTTAGACAGAGCGGATTGGAAACACTCTTTTTGTGGAATTTGCAAGTGGAAAATTCTAGCAGTATGAGGCCAATGGTACAAAAGGAAATATCTTCGTATAAAAACTAGACAGTATCATTCTCAGAAACTGCTTTGTGATGTGTGTATTAAACTCACAGAGTTTAACCTTTCTTTTCATAGAGCAGTTTGGAAACCCTCTGTTTGTGAAGTCTGCAAGTGGATATTTAAACGTGTTTGAGGCCTTCGTTGGAAACGGGATTTTTTCATATAAACCAGGACAGAAGAATTCTCAGAAACTTCTTGATTGTTATGTGTGCATTCAACTCACAGAGTTGAACCTTACTTTGGAAAGAGCAGTTTTCTAACACTCTTTTTGTAAAAGTTCCAAGTGAATACTTTGAGTGCTTTGAAGCCTACGGTTGACAACGAAATATCTTCATGTAAAAACTACAAAGAATCATTCGCAGAAACCACGTTGTGATCTCTGCATTCAACTCACAGTGTTGAACCTTTCTTCCTATAGAGCAGTTATGAAACAGTCTCTTTGTAGAATTTGCAAGGGTGTATTTAGAGGGCATTGAAGCCTACGGTAGAAAAGGAAATATCTTACCATAAAATCTAGTCAGAAGCATTCTCAGAAACTGAGTTGTGATGTTTGCATTCAACTCACAGAGTTCAACATTCCTTTTAATGGAGCGGTTTTGAAACACTCTTTTTGCAGAATCTGCAAGTGGATATTTGGACCTCTTTGAGGCCTTCGTTGGAAACGGGATTTCTTCATGTAATGCCAGACAGAAGAATTCTCAGTGAATTCTTTCTGTGTGTGTGTATTCAACTCACAGAGTTGAACGTTCCTTTAGACAGAGTAGATTGGAAACACTCTTTTTGTGGAATTTTCAGGTGGAGGTATCAAGCGCTTTGAGGCCAATGATAGAAAAGGAAATACCTTCGTATAATAATTAGACGGAATCATTCTCAGAAACCGCTTTGCAATGTGTGCGTTCAACTCACAGTGTTTAACCTTTCTTTTCATACAGTTGTTTCGAAACACTCTTTTTGCAGAATCTGCAAGTGGATATTTGGACCTCTTTGAAGTCTTCGTTGGAAATGGGATTTCTTCATATAATGCTAGACAGAAGACTTCTCAGTAACTGCTTTTTCTGGTGTGTATTCAACTCTCAGAGTTGAACTTTCCTTTAGAAACAGCAGATTTGAAACTCTCTTTTTGTGGAATTTGCAAGTGGAGATTTCAGAGCTTTGAGGCCAATGGTAGAAAAGGAAATATCTTCGTATGCAAACTAGACAGAATCATTCTCAGAAACTACTTTGGTACGTGTGTGTTCAACTCACAGTGTTTAACCTTTCTTTTCATAGAGCAGTTTGGAAACACTCAGTTTGTAAAGTCAGCAACTGGATATTTGGATGTATTTGAGGCCTTCGTTGGAAACGGGATTTCTTCATATAATGCTAGACAGAAGAATTCTCAGTAACTTCTTAGGGTTGTGGGTATTCAATTCACAGAGTTGAAGCTTCCTTTAGGCGGAGCAGATTGGAAACACTTTTTGTGGAATTTTCAGGGGGAGACTTCAAGCGCTTTGAAGTGAATGGTAGAAAAGGAAATATCTTCGTATATAAACTAGACAGAGTCATTCTCAGAAACTACTTTGTGATGTTTGCGTTCAACTCACAGAGTTTAACGTTTCTTTTCATAGAGCAGTTTGGAAACACTCTTTTTGCAGAATCTGCAAGTGGATATTTGGACCTCTTTGTGGCCTTCGTTGGAAACGGGATTTTTCATATAATGCTAGACAGAAGAATTCTCAGTAACTTCTTTTTGTGGTGTGTATTCAACTCACAGAGTTGAACCTTCCTTTAGACAGAGCAGATTTGAAACTCTCTTTTTGTGGAATTTGCAAGTGGAGATTTCAAGCGCTTTGAGGCCAACGGTAGAAAAGTAAATATCTTCGTAGAAAAAATAGACGGAATCATTCTCAGAAACTGCTTTGGGATGTGTGCATTGAACTCACAGTGTTTAACACTTCTTTTCATAGAGCACTTTGGAAACACTCAGTTTGTAATGTCTGCAGCTGGATATTTGGACCTCTTTGAGGCCTTCGTAGTAAACGGGATTTCTTCGTGTAATGATAGACAATAGAATTCTCAGTGAATTTTTTTCTGTGTGTGTGTATTCAACTCACAGGGTTGAACCTTCCTTTAGACAGTGTAGATTTGAAACACTTGTCTGTGGAATTTGCAAGGGGAGATTTCAAGCACTTTGAGGCCATTGGTGGAAAAGGAAATATCTTCGTATAAAAACTAGACAGAATCATTCTCAGGAACTACTTTGTGATATGTGCATTCAACTCCCAGAGTTTAACCTTTCTTTTCATAGATGAGTTTGGAAACAGTCAGTTTGTAAATTCTGCAACTGGATATTTGGACCTCTTTGAGGCTTTCGTTGGAAACGGGATTTCTTCACATAATGCTAGACAGAAGAATTCTCAGTAACTTCTTTTGGGATGTATGTATTCAAATCAGAGAGTTGAACCTTCCTTTAGACAGAGCGGATTGGAAACACTCTTTTTGTGGAATTTGCAAGTGGAAAATTCTAGCAGTATGAGGCCAATGGTACAAAAGGAAATATCTTCGTATAAAAACTAGACAGTATCATTCTCAGAAACTGCTTTGTGATGTGTGTTTTAAACTCACAGAGTTGAACATTTCTTTGCATAGAGCAGTTTGGAAAGACTTAGTTTGTGCAGTGTGCAAGTGGATATTTGGAACTCTTTGAGGCCTTCGTTGGAAACGGGATTTCTTCTTATAATTCTTGACAAAAGAATTCTCAGTAGCTTCTTTGTGTGTGTGTATTCAACTCACAGAGTTGAACCTTCCTTTAGACAGAGCAGATTGGAAACACTCTTTTTGTGGAATTTGCAAGTGGAGAATTCTAGCGCTTTGACGCCAATGGTAGAAAGGAAATATCTTCGTATAAAAACTAGACAGTATCATTCTCAGAAGCTACTTTGTGATGTGTGCGTTCAACTCACAGAGTTTAACCTTTCTTTTCATAGAGCAGTTTGGAAACCCTCTGTTTGTGAAGTCTGCAAGTGGATATTTAAACGTCTTTGAGGCCTTCGTTGGAAACGGGATTTTTTCATATAAACCAGGACAGAAGAATTCTCAGAAACTTCTTGATTGTTATGTGTGCATTCAACTCACAGAGTTGAACCTTACTTTGGAAAGAGCAGTTTTCTAACACTCTTTTTGTAAAAGTTCCAAGTGAATACTTTGAGTGCTTTGAAGCCTACGGTTGACAACGAAATATCTTCATGTAAAAACTACAAAGAATCATTCGCAGAAACCAACGTTGTGATCTCTGCATTCAACTCACAGAGTTGAACCTTTCTTCCTATAGAGCAGTTATGAAACAGTCTCTTTGTAGAATTTGCAAGGGTGTATTTAGAGGGCATTGAAGCCTACGGTAGAAAAGGAAATATCTTACCATAAAATCTAGTCAGAAGCATTCTCAGAAACTGAGTTGTGATGTTTGCATTCAACTCACAGAGTTCAACATTCCTTTTAATGGAGCGGTTTTGAAACACTCTTTTTGCAGAATCTGCAAGTGGATATTTGGACCTCTTTGAGGCCTTCGTTGGAAACGGGATTTCTTCATGTAATGCCAGACAGAAGAATTCTCAGTGAATTCTTTCTGTGTGTGTGTATTCAACTCACAGAGTTGAACGTTCCTTTAGACAGAGTAGATTGGAAACACTCTTTTTGTGGAATTTTCAGGTGGAGGTATCAAGCGCTTTGAGGCCAATGATAGAAAAGGAAATACCTTCGTATAATAATTAGACGGAATCATTCTCAGAAACCGCTTTGCAATGTGTGCGTTCAACTCACAGTGTTTAACCTTTCTTTTCATACAGTTGTTTCGAAACACTCTTTTTGCAGAATCTGCAAGTGGATATTTGGACCTCTTTGAAGTCTTCGTTGGAAATGGGATTTCTTCATATAATGCTAGACAGAAGACTTCTCAGTAACTGCTTTTTCTGGTGTGTATTCAACTCTCAGAGTTGAACTTTCCTTTAGAAACAGCAGATTTGAAACTCTCTTTTTGGGAATTTGCAAGTGGAGATTTCAGAGCTTTGAGGCCAATGGTAGAAAAGGAAATATCTTCGTATGCAAACTAGACAGAATCATTCTCAGAAACTACTTTGGTACGTGTGTGTTCAACTCACAGTGTTTAACCTTTCTTTTCATAGAGCAGTTTGGAAACACTCAGTTTGTAAAGTCAGCAACTGGATATTTGGATGTATTTGAGGCCTTCGTTGGAAACGGGATTTCTTCATATAATGCTAGACAGAAGAATTCTCAGTAACTTCTTTGGGTTGTGGGTATTCAAGTCACAGAGTTGAAGCTTCCTTTAGGCGGAGCAGATTGGAAACACTTTTTGTGGAATTTTCAGGGGGAGACTTCAAGCGCTTTGAAGTGAATGGTAGGAAAGGAAATATCTTCGTATAAAAACTAGACGGAGTCATTCTCAGAAACTACTTTGTGATGTTTGCGTTCAACTCACAGAGTTTAACGTTTCTTTTCATAGAGCAGTTTGGAAACACTCTTTTTGCAGAATCTGCAAGTGGATATTTGGACCTCTTTGTGGCCTTCGTTGGAAACGGGATTTTTCATATAATGCTAGACAGAAGAATTCTCAGTAACTTCTTTTTGTGGTGTGTATTCAACTCACAGAGTTGAACCTTCCTTTAGACAGAGCAGATTTGAAACTCTCTTTTTGTGGAATTTGCAAGTGGAGATTTCAAGCGCTTTGAGGCCAACGGCAGAAAAGGAAATATCTTCGTAGAAAAAATAGACGGAATCATTCTCAGAAACTGCTTTGGGATGTGTGCATTGAACTCACAGTGTTTAACACTTCTTTTCATAGAGCACTTTGGAAACACTCAGTTTGTAATGTCTGCAGCTGGATATTTGGACCTCTTTGAGGCCTTCGTAGTAAACGGGATTTCTTCGTGTAATGATAGACAATAGAATTCTCAGTGAATTTTTTTCTGTGTGTGTGTATTCAACTCACAGGGTTGAACCTTCCTTTAGACAGTGCAGATTTGAAACACTTGTCTGTGGAATTTGCAAGGGGAGATTTCAAGCACTTTGAGGCCATTGGTGGAAAAGGAAATATCTTCGTATGAAAACTAGACAGAATCATTCTCAGGAACTACTTTGTGATATGTGCATTCAACTCCCAGAGTTTAACCTTTCTTTTCATAGATGAGTTTGGAAACAGTCAGTTTGTAAATTCTGCAACTGGATATTTGGACCTCTTTGAGGCTTTCGTTGGAAACGGGATTTCTTCACATAATGCTAGACAGAAGAATTCTCAGTAACTTCTTTTGGGATGTATGTATTCAAATCAGAGAGTTGAACCTTCCTTTAGACAGAGCGGATTGGAAACACTCTTTTTGTGGAATTTGCAAGTGGAAAATTCTAGCAGTATGAGGCCAATGGTACAAAAGGAAATATCTTCGTATAAAAACTAGACAGTATCATTCTCAGAAACTGCTTTGTGATGTGTGTATTAAACTCACAGAGTTGAACATTTCTTTGCATAGAGCAGTTTGGAAAGACTTAGTTTGTGCAGTGTGCAAGTGGATATTTGGAACTCTTTGAGGCCTTCGTTGGAAACGGGATTTCTTCTTATAATTCTTGACAAAAGAATTCTCAGTAGCTTCTTTGTGTGTGTGTATTCAACTCACAGAGTTGAACCTTCCTTTAGACAGAGCAGATTGGAAACACTCTTTTTGTGGAATTTGCAAGTGGAGAATTCTAGCGCTTTGACGCCAATGGTAGAAAGGAAATATCTTCGTATAAAAACTAGACAGTATCATTCTCAGAAGCTACTTTGTGATGTGTGCGTTCAACTCACAGAGTTTAACCTTTCTTTTCATAGAGCAGTTTGGAAACCCTCTGTTTGTGAAGTCTGCAAGTGGATATTTAAACGTCTTTGAGGCCTTCGTTGGAAACGGGATTTTTTCATATAAACCAGGACAGAAGAATTCTCAGAAACTTCTTGATTGTTATGTGTGCATTCAACTCACAGAGTTGAACCTTACTTTGGAAAGAGCAGTTTTCTAACACTCTTTTTGTAAAAGTTCCAAGTGAATACTTTGAGTGCTTTGAAGCCTACGGTTGACAACGAAATATCTTCATGTAAAAACTACAAAGAATCATTCGCAGAAACCACGTTGTGATCTCTGCATTCAACTCACAGAGTTCAACCTTTCTTCCTATAGAGCAGTTATGAAACAGTCTCTTTGTAGAATTTGCAAGGGTGTATTTAGAGGGCATTGAAGCCTACGGTAGAAAAGGAAATATCTTACCATAAAATCTAGTCAGAAGCATTCTCAGCAACTGAGTTGTGATGTTTGCATTCAACTCACAGAGTTCAACATTCCTTTTAATGGAGCGGTTTTGAAACACTCTTTTTGCAGAATCTGCAAGTGGATATTTGGACCTCTTTGAGGCCTTCGTTGGAAACGGGATTTCTTCATGTAATGCCAGACAGAAGAATTCTCAGTGAATTCTTTCTGTGTGTGTGTATTCAACTCACAGAGTTGAACGTTCCTTTAGACAGAGTAGATTGGAAACACTCTTTTTGTGGAATTTTCAGGTGGAGGTATCAAGCGCTTTGAGACCAATGATAGAAAAGGAAATACCTTCGTATAATAATTAGACGGAATCATTCTCAGAAACTGCTTTGCAATGTGTGCGTTCAACTCACAGTGTTTAACCTTTCTTTTCATACAGTTGTTTCGAAACACTCTTTTTGCAGAATCTGCAAGTGGATATTTGGACCTCTTTGAAGTCTTCGTTGGAAATGGGATTTCTTCATATAATGCTAGACAGAAGACTTCTCAGTAACTGCTTTTTCTGGTGTGTATTCAACTCTCAGAGTTGAACTTTCCTTTAGAAACAGCAGATTTGAAACTCTCTTTTTGTGGAATTTGCAAGTGGAGATTTCAGAGCTTTGAGGCCAATGGTAGAAAAGGAAATATCTTCGTATGCAAACTAGACAGAATCATTCTCAGAAACTACTTTGGTACAGTGTGTGTTCAACTCACAGTGTTTAACCTTTCTTTTCATAGAGCAGTTTGGAAACACTCAGTTTGTAAAGTCAGCAACTGGATATTTGGATGTATTTGAGGCCTTCGTTGGAAACGGGATTTCTTCATATAATGCTAGACAGAAGAATTCTCAGTAACTTCTTTGGGTTGTGGGTATTCAAGTCACAGAGTTGAAGCTTCCTTTAGGCGGAGCAGATTGGAAACACTTTTTGTGGAATTTTCAGGGGGAGACTTCAAGCGCTTTGAAGTGAATGGTAGGAAAGGAAATATCTTCGTATAAAAACTAGACGGAGTCATTCTCAGAAACTACTTTGTGATGTTTGCGTTCAACTCACAGAGTTTAACGTTTCTTTTCATAGAGCAGTTTGGAAACACTCTTTTTGCAGAATCTGCAAGTGGATATTTGGACCTCTTTGTGGCCTTCGTTGGAAACGGGATTTTTCATATAATGCTAGACAGAAGAATTCTCAGTAACTTCTTTTTGTGGTGTGTATTCAACTCACAGAGTTGAACCTTCCTTTAGACAGAGCAGATTTGAAACTCTCTTTTTGTGGAATTTGCAAGTGGAGATTTCAAGCGCTTTGAGGCCAACGGCAGAAAAGGAAATATCTTCGTAGAAAAAATAGACGGAATCCTTCTCAGAAACTGCTTTGGGATGTGTGCATTGAACTCACAGTGTTTAACACTTCTTTTCATAGAGCACTTTGGAAACACTCAGTTTGTAATGTCTGCAGCTGGATATTTGGACCTCTTTGAGGCCTTCGTAGTAAACGGGATTTCTTCGTGTAATGATAGACAATAGAATTCTCAGTGAATTTTTTTCTGTGTGTGTGTATTCAACTCACAGGGTTGAACCTTCCTTTAGACAGTGCAGATTTGAAACACTTGTCTGTGGAATTTGCAAGGGGAGATTTCAAGCACTTTGAGGCCATTGGTGGAAAAGGAAATATCTTCGTATAAAAACTAGACAGAATCATTCTCAGGAACTACTTTGTGATATGTGCATTCAACTCACAGAGTTTAACCTTTCTTTTCATAGATGAGTTTGGAAACAGTCAGTTTGTAAATTCTGCAACTGGATATTTGGACCTCTTTGAGGCTTTCGTTGGAAACGGGATTTCTTCACATAATGCTAGACAGAAGAATTCTCAGTAACTTCTTTTGGGATGTATGTATTCAAATCAGAGAGTTGAACCTTCCTTTAGACAGAGCGGATTGGAAACACTCTTTTTGTGGAATTTGCAAGTGGAAAATTCTAGCAGTATGAGGCCAATGGTACAAAAGGAAATATCTTCGTATAAAAACTAGACAGTATCATTCTCAGAAACTGCTTTGTGATGTGTGTATTAAACTCACAGAGTTGAACATTTCTTTGCATAGAGCAGTTTGGAAAGACTTAGTTTGTGCAGTGTGCAAGTGGATATTTGGAACTCTTTGAGGCCTTCGTTGGAAACGGGATTTCTTCTTATAATTCTTGACAAAAGAATTCTCAGTAGCTTCTTTGTGTGTGTGTATTCAACTCACAGAGTTGAACCTTCCTTTAGACAGAGCAGATTGGAAACACTCTTTTTGTGGAATTTGCAAGTGGAGAATTCTAGCGCTTTGACGCCAATGGTAGAAAGGAAATATCTTCGTATAAAAACTAGACAGTATCATTCTCAGAAGCTACTTTGTGATGTGTGCGTTCAACTCACAGAGTTTAACCTTTCTTTTCATAGAGCAGTTTGGAAACACTCTGTTTGTGAAGTCTGCAAGTGGATATTTAAACGTCTTTGAGGCCTTCGTTGGAAACGGGATTTTTTCATATAAACCAGGACAGAAGAATTCTCAGAAACTTCTTGATTGTTATGTGTGCATTCAACTCACAGAGTTGAACCTTACTTTGGAAAGAGCAGTTTTCTAATACTCTTTTTGTAAAAGTTCCAAGTGAATACTTTGAGTGCTTTGAAGCCTACGGTTGACAACGAAATATCTTCATGTAAAAACTACAAAGAATCATTCGCAGAAACCACGTTGTGATCTCTGCATTCAACTCACAGAGTTCAACCTTTCTTCCTATAGAGCAGTTATGAAACAGTCTCTTTGTAGAATTTGCAAGGGTGTATTTAGAGGGCATTGAAGCCTACGGTAGAAAAGGAAATATCTTACCATAAAATCTAGTCAAAAGCATTCTCAGAAACTGAGTTGTGATGTTTGCATTCAACTCACAGAGTTCAACATTCCTTTTAATGGAGCGGTTTTGAAACACTCTTTTTGCAGAATCTGCAAGTGGATATTTGGACCTCTTTGAGGCCTTCGTTGGAAACGGGATTTCTTCATGTAATGCCAGACAGAAGAATTCTCAGTGAATTCTTTCTGTGTGTGTGTATTCAACTCACAGAGTTGAACGTTCCTTTAGACAGAGTAGATTGGAAACACTCTTTTTGTGGAATTTTCAGGTGGACGTATCAAGCGCTTTGAGGCCAATGATAGAAAAGGAAATACCTTCGTATAATAATTAGACGGAATCATTCTCAGAAACTGCTTTGCAATGTGTGCGTTCAACTCACAGTGTTTAACCTTTCTTTTCATACAGTTGTTTCGAAACACTCTTTTTGCAGAATCTGCAAGTGGATATTTGGACCTCTTTGAAGTCTTCGTTGGAAATGGGATTTCTTCATATAATGCTAGACAGAAGACTTCTCAGTAACTGCTTTTTCTGGTGTGTATTCAACTCTCAGAGTTGAACTTTCCTTTAGAAACAGCAGATTTGAAACTCTCTTTTTGTGGAATTTGCAAGTGGAGATTTCAGAGCTTTGAGGCCAATGGTAGAAAAGGAAATATCTTCGTATGCAAACTAGACAGAATCATTCTCAGAAACTACTTTGGTACGTGTGTGTTCAACTCACAGTGTTTAACCTTTCTTTTCATAGAGCAGTTTGGAAACACTCAGTTTGTAAAGTCAGCAACTGGATATTTGGATGTATTTGAGGCCTTCGTTGGAAACGGGATTTCTTCATATAATGCTAGACAGAAGAATTCTCAGTAACTTCTTTGGGTTGTGGGTATTCAAGTCACAGAGTTGAAGCTTCCTTTAGGCAGAGCAGATTGGAAACACTTTTTGTGGAATTTTCAGGGGGAGACTTCAAGCGCTTTGAAGTGAATGGTAGGAAAGGAAATATCTTCGTATAAAAACTAGACGGAGTCATTCTCAGAAACTACTTTGTGATGTTTGCGTTCAACTCACAGAGTTTAACGTTTCTTTTCATAGAGCAGTTTGGAAACACTCTTTTTGCAGAATCTGCAAGTGGATATTTGGACCTCTTTGTGGCCTTCGTTGGAAACGGGATTTTTCATATAATGCTAGACAGAAGAATTCTCAGTAACTTCTTTTTGTGGTGTGTATTCAACTCACAGAGTTGAACCTTCCTTTAGACAGAGCAGATTTGAAACTCTCTTTTTGTGGAATTTGCAAGTGGAGATTTCAAGCGCTTTGAGGCCAACGGCAGAAAAGGAAATATCTTCGTAGAAAAAATAGACGGAATCATTCTCAGAAACTGCTTTGGGATGTGTGCATTGAACTCACAGTGTTTAACACTTCTTTTCATGGAGCACTTTGGAAACACTCAGGTTGTAATGTCTGCAGCTGGATATTTGGACCTCTTTGAGGCCTTCGTAGTAAACGGGATTTCTTCGTGTAATGATAGACAATAGAATTCTCAGTGAATTTTTTTCTGTGTGTGTGTATTCAACTCACAGGGTTGAACCTTCCTTTAGACAGTGCAGATTTGAAACACTTGTCTGTGGAATTTGCAAGGGGAGATTTCAAGCACTTTGAGGCCATTGGTGGAAAAGGAAATATCTTCGTATAAAAACTAGACAGAATCATTCTCAGGAACTACTTTGTGATATGTGCATTCAACTCCCAGAGTTTAACCTTTCTTTTCATAGATGAGTTTGGAAACAGTCAGTTTGTAAATTCTGCAACTGGATATTTGGACCTCTTTGAGGCTTTCGTTGGAAACGGGATTTCTTCACATAATGCTAGACAGAAGAATTCTCAGTAACTTCTTTTGGGATGTATGTATTCAAATCAGAGAGTTGAACCTTCCTTTAGACAGAGCGGATTGGAAACACTCTTTTTGTGGAATTTGCAAGTGGAAAATTCTAGCAGTAGGAGGCCAATGGTACAAAAGGAAATATCTTCGTATAAAAACTAGACAGTATCATTCTCAGAAACTGCTTTGTGATGTGTGTATTAAACTCACAGAGTTGAACATTTCTTTGCATAGAGCAGTTTGGAAAGACTTAGTTTGTGCAGTGTGCAAGTGGATATTTGGAACTCTTTGAGGCCTTCGTTGGAAACGGGATTTCTTCTTATAATTCTTGACAAAAGAATTCTCAGTAGCTTCTTTGTGTGTGTGTATTCAACTCACAGAGTTGAACCTTCCTTTAGACAGAGCAGATTGGAAACACTCTTTTTGTGGAATTTGCAAGTGGAGAATTCTAGCGCTTTGACGCCAATGGTAGAAAGGAAATATCTTCGTATAAAAACTAGACAGTATCATTCTCAGAAACTACTTTGTGATGTGTGCGTTCAACTCACAGAGTTTAACCTTTCTTTTCATAGAGCAGTTTGGAAACCCTCTGTTTGTGAAGTCTGCAAGTGGATATTTAAACGTCTTTGAGGCCTTCGTTGGAAACGGGATTTGTTCATATAAACCAGGACAGAAGAATTCTCAGAAACTTCTTGATTGTTATGTGTGCATTCAACTCACAGAGTTGAACCTTACTTTGGAAAGAGCAGTTTTCTAACACTCTTTTTGTAAAAGTTCCAAGTGAATACTTTGAGTGCTTTGAAGCCTACGGTTGACAACGAAATATCTTCATGTAAAAACTACAAAGAATCATTCGCAGAAACCACGTTGTGATCTCTGCATTCAACTCACAGAGTTCAACCTTTCTTCCTATAGAGCAGTTATGAAACAGTCTCTTTGTAGAATTTGCAAGGGTGTATTTAGAGGGCATTGAAGCCTACGGTAGAAAAGGAAATATCTTACCATAAAATCTAGTCAGAAGCATTCTCAGAAACTGAGTTGTGATGTTTGCATTCAACTCACAGAGTTCAACATTCCTTTTAATGGAGCGGTTTTGAAACACTCTTTTTGCAGAATCTGCAAGTGGATATTTGGACCTCTTTGAGGCCTTCGTTGGAAACGGGATTTCTTCATGTAATGCCAGACAGAAGAATTCTCAGTGAATTCTTTCTGTGTGTGTGTATTCAACTCACAGAGTTGAACGTTCCTTTAGACAGAGTAGATTGGAAACACTCTTTTTGTGGAATTTTCAGGTGGAGGTATCAAGCGCTTTGAGGCCAATGATAGAAAAGGAAATACCTTCGTATAATAATTAGACGGAGTCATTCTCAGAAACCGCTTTGCAATGTGTGCGTTCAACTCACAGTGTTTAACCTTTCTTTTCATACAGTTGTTTCGAAACACTCTTTTTGCAGAATCTGCAAGTGGATATTTGGACCTCTTTGAAGTCTTCGTTGGAAATGGGATTTCTTCATATAATGCTAGACAGAAGACTTCTCAGTAACTGCTTTTTCTGGTGTGTATTCAACTCTCAGAGTTGAACTTTCCTTTAGAAACAGCAGATTTGAAACTCTCTTTTTGTGGAATTTGCAAGTGGAGATTTCAGAGCTTTGAGGCCAATGGTAGAAAAGGAAATATCTTCGTATGCAAACTAGACAGAATCATTCTCAGAAACTACTTTGGTACGTGTGTGTTCAACTCACAGTGTTTAACCTTTCTTTTCATAGAGCAGTTTGGAAACACTCAGTTTGTAAAGTCAGCAACTGGATATTTGGATGTATTTGAGGCCTTCGTTGGAAACGGGATTTCTTCATATAATGCTAGACAGAAGAATTCTCAGTAACTTCTTTGGGTTGTGGGTATTCAACTCACAGAGTTGAAGCTTCCTTTAGGCGGAGCAGATTGGAAACACTTTTTGTGGAATTTTCAGGGGGAGACTTCAAGCGCTTTGAAGTGAATGGTAGGAAAGGAAATATCTTCGTATAAAAACTAGACGGAGTCATTCTCAGAAACTACTTTGTGATGTTTGCGTTCAACTCACAGAGTTTAACGTTTCTTTTCATAGAGCAGTTTGGAAACACTCTTTTTGCAGAATCTGCAAGTGGATATTTGGACCTCTTTGTGGCCTGTCGTTGGAAACGGGATTTTTCATATAATGCTAGACAGAAGAATTCTCAGTAACTTCTTTTTGTGGTGTGTATTCAACTCACAGAGTTGAACCTTCCTTTAGACAGAGCAGATTTGAAACTCTCTTTTTGTGGAATTTGCAAGTGGAGATTTCAAGCGCTTTGAGGCCAACGGTAGAAAAGGAAATATCTTCGTAGAAAAAATAGACGGAATCATTCTCAGAAACTGCTTTGGGATGTGTGCATTGAACTCACAGTGTTTAACACTTCTTTTCATAGAGCACTTTGGAAACACTCAGTTTGTAATGTCTGCAGCTGGATATTTGGACCTCTTTGAGGCCTTCGTAGTAAACGGGATTTCTTCGTGTAATGATAGACAATAGAATTCTCAGTGAATTTTTTTCTGTGTGTGTGTATTCAACTCACAGGGTTGAACCTTCCTTTAGACAGTGCAGATTTGAGACACTTGTCTGTGGAATTTGCAAGGGGAGATTTCAAGCACTTTGAGGCCATTGGTGGAAAAGGAAATATCTTCGTATAAAAACTAGACAGAATCATTCTCAGGAACTACTTTGTGATATGTGCATTCAACTCACAGAGTTCAACCTTTCTTTTCATAGATGAGTTTGGAAACAGTCAGTTTGTAAATTCTGCAACTGGATATTTGTACCTCTTTGAGGCTTTCGTTGGAAACGGGATTTCTTCACATAATGCTAGACAGAAGAATTCTCAGTAACTTCTTTTGGGATGTATGTATTCAAATCAGAGAGTTGAACCTTCCTTTAGACAGAGCAGATTGGAAACACTCTTTTTGTGGAATTTGCAAGTGGAAAATTCTAGTAGTATGAGGCCAATGGTACAAAAGGAAATATCTTCGTATAAAAACTAGACAGTATCATTCTCAGCAAACTGCTTTGTGATGTGTGTATTAAACTCACAGAGTTGAACATTTCTTTGCATAGAGCAGTATGGAAAGACTTAGTTTGTGCAGTGTGCAAGTGGATATTTGGAACTCTTTGAGGCCTTGGTTGGAAACGGGATTTCTTCTTATAATTCTTGACAAAAGAATTCTCAGTAGCTTCTTTGTGTGTGTGTACTCAACTCACAGAGTTGAACCTTCCTTTAGACAGAGCAGATTGGAAACACTCTTTTTGTGGAATTTGCAAGTGGAAAATTCTAGCAGTATGAGGCCAATGGTACAAAAGGAAATATCTTCGTATAAAAACTAGACAGTATCATTCTCAGAAACTACTTTGTGATGTGTGCGTTCAACTCACAGTGTTTACCCTTTCTTTTCATAGAGCAGTTTGGAAACACTCTGTTTGTGAAGTCTGCAAGTGGATATTTAAACGTCTTTGAGGCCTTCGTTGGAAACGGGATTTCTTCCTATAAACCAGGACAGAAGGATTCTCAGAAACTTCTTGTTTGTTATGTGTGCATTCAACTCACAGAGTTGAACCTTACTTTGGAAAGAGCAGTTTTCTAACACTCTTTTTGTAAAAGTTCCAAGTGAATACTTTGAGTGCTTTGAAGCCTACGGTAGACAACGAAATATTCTTCATGTAAAAACTACAAAGAATCATTCGCAGAAACCACGTTGTGATCTCTGCATTCAACTCACAGAGTTCAACCTTTCTTCCTATAGAGCAGTTATGAAACAGTCTCTTTGTAGAATTTGCAAGGGTGTATTTAGAGGGCATTGAAGCCTACGGTAGAAAAGGAAATATCTTACCATAAAATCTAGTCAGAAGCATTCTCAGAAACTGAGTTGTGATGTTTGCATTCAACTCACAGAGTTCAACATTCCTTTTCATGGAGCGGTTTTGAAACACTCTTTTTGCAGAATCTGCAAGTGGATATTTGGACCTCTTTGAGGCCTTCGTTGAAAACGGGATTTCTTCATGTAATGCCAGACAGAAGAATTCTCAGTGAATTCTTTCTGTGTGTGTGTATTCAACTCACAGAGTTGAACGTTCCTTTAGACAGAGTAGATTGGAAACACTCTTTTTGTGGAATTTTCAGGTGGAGGTATCAAGCGCTTTGAGGCCAATGATAGAAAAGGAAATACCTTCGTATAATAATTAGACGGAATCATTCTCAGAAACTGCTTTGCAATGTGTGCGTTCAACTCACAGTGTTTAACCTTTCTTTTCATACAGTTGTTTCGAAACACTCTTTTTGCAGAATCTGCAAGTGGATATTTGGACCTCTTTGAAGTCTTCGTTGGAAATGGGATTTCTTCATATAATGCTAGACAGAAGACTTCTCAGTAACTGCTTTTTCTGGTGTGTATTCAACTCTCAGAGTTGAACTTTCCTTTAGAAACAGCAGATTTGAAACTCTCTTTTTGTGGAATTTGCAAGTGGAGATTTCAGAGCTTTGAGGCCAATGGTAGAAAAGGAAATATCTTCGTATGCAAACTAGACAGAATCATTCTCAGAAACTACTTTGGTACGTGTGTGTTCAACTCACAGTGTTTAACCTTTCTTTTCATAGAGCAGTTTGGAAACACTCAGTTTGTAAAGTCAGCAACTGGATATTTGGATGTATTTGAGGCCTTCGTTGGAAACGGGATTTCTTCATATAATGCTAGACAGAAGAATTCTCAGTAACTTCTTTGGGTTGTGGGTATTCAAGTCACAGAGTTGAAGCTTCCTTTAGGCGGAGCAGATTGGAAACACTTTTTGTGGAATTTTCAGGGGGAGACTTCAAGCGCTTTGAAGTGAATGGTAGGAAAGGAAATATCTTCGTATAAAAACTAGACGGAGTCATTCTCAGAAACTACTTTGTGATGTTTGCGTTCAACTCACAGAGTTTAACGTTTCTTTTCATAGAGCAGTTTGGAAACACTCTTTTTGCAGAATCTGCAAGTGGATATTTGGACCTCTTTGTGGCCTTCGTTGGAAACGGGATTTTTCATATAATGCTAGACAGAAGAATTCTCAGTAACTTCTTTTTGTGGTGTGTATTCAACTCACAGAGTTGAACCTTCCTTTAGACAGAGCAGATTTGAAACTCTCTCTTTGTGGAATTTGCAAGTGGAGATTTCAAGCGCTTTGAGGCCAACGGCAGAAAAGGAAATATCTTCGTAGAAAAAATAGACGGAATCATTCTCAGAAACTGCTTTGGGATGTGTGCATTGAACTCACAGTGTTTAACACTTCTTTTCATAGAGCACTTTGGAAACACTCAGTTTGTAATGTCTGCAGCTGGATATTTGGACCTCTTTGAGGCTTCGTAGTAAACGGGATTTCTTCGTGTAATGATAGACAATAGAATTCTCAGTGAATTTTTTTCTGTGTGTGTGTATTCAACTCACAGGGTTGAACCTTCCTTTAGACAGTGCAGATTTGAAACACTTGTCTGTGGAATTTGCAAGGGGAGATTTCAAGCACTTTGAGGCCATTGGTGGAAAAGGAAATATCTTCGTATGAAAACTAGACAGAATCATTCTCAGGAACTACTTTGTGATATGTGCATTCAACTCACAGAGTTTAACCTTTCTTTTCATAGATGAGTTTGGAAACAGTCAGTTTGTAAATTCTGCAACTGGATATTTGGACCTCTTTGAGGCTTTCGTTGGAAACGGGATTTCTTCACATAATGCTAGACAGAAGAATTCTCAGTAACTTCTTTTGGGATGTATGTATTCAAATCAGAGAGTTGAACCTTCCTTTAGACAGAGCGGATTGGAAACACTCTTTTTGTGGAATTTGCAAGTGGAAAATTCTAGCAGTATGAGGCCAATGGTACAAAAGGAAATATCTTCGTATAAAAACTAGACAGTATCATTCTCAGAAACTGCTTTGTGATGTGTGTATTAAACTCACAGAGTTGAACATTTCTTTGCATAGAGCAGTTTGGAAAGACTTAGTTTGTGCAGTGTGCAAGTGGATATTTGGAACTCTTTGAGGCCTTCGTTGGAAACGGGATTTCTTCTTATAATTCTTGACAAATGAATTCTCAGTAGCTTCTTTGTGTGTGTGTATTCAACTCACAGAGTTGAACCTTCCTTTAGACAGAGCAGATTGGAAACACTCTTTTTGTGGAATTTGCAAGTGGAGAATTCTAGCGCTTTGACGCCAATGGTAGAAAGGAAATATCTTCGTATAAAAACTAGACAGTATCATTCTCAGAAGCTACTTTGTGATGTGTGCGTTCAACTCACAGAGTTTAACCTTTCTTTTCATAGAGCAGTTTGGAAACACTCTGTTTGTGAAGTCTGCAAGTGGATATTTAAACGTCTTTGAGGCCTTCGTTGGAAACGGGATTTCTTCATATAAACCAGGACAGAAGAATTCTCAGAAACTTCTTGATTGTTATGTGTGCATTCAACTCACAGAGTTGAACCTTACTTTGGAAAGAGCAGTTTTCTAACACTCTTTTTGTAAAAGTTCCAAGTGAATACTTTGAGTGCTTTGAAGCCTACGGTTGACAACGAAATATCTTCATGTAAAAACTACAAAGAAACATTCGCAGAAACCACGTTGTGATCTCTGCATTCAACTCACAGAGTTGAACCTTTCTTCCTGTAGAGCAGTTATGAAACAGTCTCTTTGTAGAATTTGCAAGGGTGTATTTAGAGGGCATTGAAGCCTACGGTAGAAAAGGAAATATCTTACCATAAAATCTAGTCAGAAGCATTCTCAGCAACTGAGTTGTGATGTTTGCATTCAACTCACAGAGTTCAACATTCCTTTTAATGGAGCGGTTTTGAAACACTCTTTTTGCAGAATCTGCAAGTGGATATTTGGACCTCTTTGAGGCCTTCGTTGGAAACGGGATTTCTTCATGTAATGCCAGACAGAAGAATTCTCAGTGAATTCTTTCTGTGTGTGTGTATTCAACTCACAGAGTTGAACGTTCCTTTAGACAGAGTAGATTGGAAACACTCTTTTTGTGGAATTTTCAGGTGGAGGTATCAAGCGCTTTGAGGCCAATGATAGAAAAGGAAATACCTTCGTATAATAATTAGACGGAATCATTCTCAGAAACTGCTTTGCAATGTGTGCGTTCAACTCACAGTGTTTAACCTTTCTTTTCATACAGTTGTTTCGAAACACTCTTTTTGCAGAATCTGCAAGTGGATATTTGGACCTCTTTGAAGTCTTCGTTGGAAATGGGATTTCTTCATATAATGCTAGACAGAAGACTTCTCAGTAACTGCTTTTTCTGGTGTGTATTCAACTCTCAGAGTTGAACTTTCCTTTAGAAACAGCAGATTTGAAACTCTCTTTTTGTGGAATTTGCAAGTGGAGATTTCAGAGCTTTGAGGCCAATGGTAGAAAAGGAAATATCTTCGTATGCAAACTAGACAGAATCATTCTCAGAAACTACTTTGGTACGTGTGTGTTCAACTCACAGTGTTTAACCTTTCTTTTCATAGAGCAGTTTGGAAACACTCAGTTTGCAAAGTCAGCAACTGGATATTTGGATGTATTTGAGGCCTTCGTTGGAAACGGGATTTCTTCATATAATGCTAGACAGAAGAATTCTCAGTAACTTCTTAGGGTTGTGGGTATTCAACTCACAGAGTTGAAGCTTCCTTTAGGCGGAGCAGATTGGAAACACTTTTTGTGGAATTTTCAGGGGGAGACTTCAAGGGCTTTGAAGTGAATGGTAGGAAAGGAAATATCTTCGTATAAAAACTAGACGGAGTCATTCTCAGCAAACAACTTTGTGATGTTTGCGTTCAACTCACAGAGTTTAACGTTTCTTTTCATAGAGCAGTTTGGAAACACTCTTTTTGCAGAATCTGCAAGTGGATATTTGGACCTCTTTGTGGCCTTCGTTGGAAACGGGATTTTTCATATAATGCTAGACAGAAGAATTCTCAGTAACTTCTTTTTGTGGTGTGTATTCAACTCACAGAGTTGAACCTTCCATTAGACAGAGCAGATTTGAAACTCTCTTTTTGTGGAATTTGCAAGGGGAGATTTCAAGCGCTTTGAGGCCAACGGTAGAAAAGGAAATATCTTCGTAGAAAAAATAGACGGAATCATTCTCAGAAACTGCTTTGGGATGTGTGCATTGAACTCACAGTGTTTAACACTTCTTTTCATAGAGCACTTTGGAAACACTCAGTTTTTAAAGTCTGCAGCTGGATATTTGGACCTCTTTGAGGCCTTCGTAGTAAACGGGATTTCTTCGTGTAATGATAGACAATAGAATTCTCAGTGAATTTTTTTCTGTGTGTGTGTATTCAACTCACAGGGTTGAACCTTCCTTCAGACAGTGCAGATTTGAAACACTTTTCTGTGGAATTTGCAAGGGGAGATTTCAAGCACTTTGAGGCCATTGGTGGAAAAGGAAATATCTTCGTATAAAAACTAGACAGAATCATTCTCAGGAACTACTTTGTGATATGTGCATTCAACTCACAGGGTTTAACCTTTCTTTTCATAGATGAGTTTGGAAACAGTCAGTTTGTAAATTCTGCAACTGGATATTAGGACCTCTTTGAGGCTTTCGTTGGAAACGGGATTTCTTCACATAATGCTAGACAGAAGAATTCGCAGTAACTTCTTTTGGGATGTATGTATTCAACTCAGAGAGTTGAACCTTCCTTTAGACAGAGCGCATTGGAAACACGCTTTTTGCGGAATTTTCAGGTGGAGATTCCAAGAGCCTTGAGGCCAATGGTAGAAAAGGCTATCTTCGTATGAAAACTAGAGGGAATCATTCTCAGAAACTGCTTTCTGATGTGTGCATTAAACTCACAGGGTTGAACATTTCTTTGCATAGAGCAGTTTAGAAAGTCTTAGTTTGTACAGTGTGCAAGTGGATATTTGGAACTCTTTGTGGCCTTCGTTGGAAACGGGATTTCTTCTTATAATTCTTGACAAAAGAATTCTCAGTAGCTTCTTTGTGTGTGTGTATTCAACTCACAGAGTTGAACCTTCCTTTAGACAGAGCAGATTGGAAACACTCTTTTTGTGGAATTTGCAAGTGGAGAATTCTAGCGCTTTGACGCCAATGGTAGAAAGGAAATATCTTCGTATAAAAACTAGACAGTATCATTCTCAGAAGCTACTTTGTGATGTGTGCGTTCAACTCACAGAGTTTAACCTTTCTTTTCATAGAGCGGTTTGGAAACCCTCTGTTTGTGAAGTCTGCAAGTGGATATTTAAACGTCTTTGAGGCCTTCGTTGGAAACGGGATTTTTTCATATAAACCAGGACAGAAGAATTCTCAGAAACTTCTTGATTGTTATGTGTGCATTCAACTCACAGAGTTGAACCTTACTTTGGAAAGAGCAGTTTCCTAACACTCGTTTTGTAAAAGTTCCAAGTGAATACTTTGAGTGCTTTGAAGCCTACGGTTGACAACGAAATATCTTCATGTAAAAACTACAAAGAATCATTCGCAGAAACCACGTTGTGATCTCTGCATTCAACTCACAGAGTTCAACCTTTCTTCCTATAGAGCAGTTATGAAACAGTCTCTTTGTAGAATTTGCAAGGGTGTATTTAGAGGGCATTGAAGCCTACGGTAGAAAAGGAAATATCTTACCATAAAATCTAGTCAGAAGCATTCTCAGCAACTGAGTTGTGATGTTTGCATTCAACTCACAGAGTTCAACATTCCTTTTAATGGAGCGGTTTTGAAACACTCTTTTTGCAGAATCTGCAAGTGGATATTTGGACCTCTTTGAGGCCTTCGTTGGAAACGGGATTTCTTCATGTAATGCCAGACAGAAGAATTCTCAGTGAATTCTTTCTGTGTGTGTGTATTCAACTCACAGAGTTGAACGTTCCTTTAGACAGAGTAGATTGGAAACACTCTTTTTGTGGAATTTTCAGGTGGAGGTATCAAGCGCTTTGAGGCCAATGATAGAAAAGGAAATACCTTCGTATAATAATTAGACGGAATCATTCTCAGAAACTGCTTTGCAATGTGTGCGTTCAACTCACAGTGTTTAACCTTTCTTTTCATACAGTTGTTTCGAAACACTCTTTTTGCAGAATCTGCAAGTGGATATTTGGACCTCTTTGAAGTCTTCGTTGGAAATGGGATTTCTTCCTATAATGCTAGACAGAAGACTTCTCAGTAACTGCTTTTTCTGGTGTGTATTCAACTCTCCGAGTTGAACTTTCCTTTAGAAACAGCAGATTTGAAACTCTCTTTTTGTGGAATTTGCAAGTGGAGATTTCAGAGCTTTGAGGCCAATGGTAGAAAAGGAAATATCTTCGTATGCAAACTAGACAGAATCATTCTCAGAAACTACTTTGGTACGTGTGTGTTCAACTCACAGTGTTTAACCTTTCTTTTCATAGAGCAGTTTGGAAACACTCAGTTTGTAAAGTCAGCAACTGGATATTTGGATGTATTTGAGGCCGTCGTTGGAAACGGGATTTCTTCATATACTGCTAGACAGAAGAATTCTCAGTAACTTCTTTGGGTTGTGGGTATTCAACTCACAGAGTTGAAGCTTCCTTTAGGAGGAGCAGATTGGAAACACTTTTTGTGGAATTTTCAGGGGGAGACTTCAAGCGCTTTGAAGTGAATGGTAGAAAAGGAAATATCTTCGTATAAAAACTAGACGGAGTCATTCTCAGAAACTACTTTGTGATGTTTGCGTTCAACTCACAGAGTTTAACGTTTCTTTTCATAGAGCAGTTTGGAAACACTCTTTTTGCAGAATCTGCAAGTGGATATTTGGACCTCTTTGTGGCCTTCGTTGGAAACGGGATTTTTCATATAATGCTAGACAGAAGAATTCTCAGTAACTTCTTTTTGTGGTGTGTATTCAACTCACAGAGTTGAACCTTCCTTTAGACAGAGCAGATTTGAAACTCTCTTTTTGTGGAATTTGCAAGTGGAGATTTCAAGCGCTTTGAGGCCAACGGCAGAAAAGGAAATATCTTCGTAGAAAAAATAGACGGAATCATTCTCAGAAACTGCTTTGGGATGTGTGCATTGAACTCACAGTGTTTAACACTTCTTTTCATAGAGCACTTTGGAAACACTCAGGTTGTAATGTCTGCAGCTGGATATTTGGACCTCTTTGAGGCCTTCGTAGTAAACGGGATTTCTTCGTGTAATGATAGACAATAGAATTCTCAGTGAATTTTTTTCTGTGTGTGTGTATTCAACTCACAGGGTTGAACCTTCCTTTAGACAGTGCAGATTTGAGACACTTGTCTGTGGAATTTGCAAGGGGAGATTTCAAGCACTTTGAGGCCATTGGTGGAAAAGGAAATATCTTCGTATGAAAACTAGACAGAATCATTCTCAGGAACTACTTTGTGATATGTGCATTCAACTCCCAGAGTTTAACCTTTCTTTTCATAGATGAGTTTGGAAACAGTCAGTTTGTAAATTCTGCAACTGGATATTTGGACCTCTTTGAGGCTTTCGTTGGAAACGGGATTTCTTCACATAATGCTAGACAGAAGAATTCTCAGGAACTTCTTTTGGGATGTATGTATTCAAATCAGAGAGTTGAACCTTCCTTTAGACAGAGCGGATTGGAAACACTCTTTTTGTGGAATTTGCAAGTGGAAAATTCTAGCAGTATGAGGCCAATGGTACAAAAGGAAATATCTTCGTATAAAAACTAGACAGTATCATTCTCAGAAACTGCTTTGTGATGTGTGTATTAAACTCACAGAGTTGAACATTTCTTTGCATAGAGCAGTTTGGAAAGACTTAGTTTGTGCAGTGTGCAAGTGGATATTTGGAACTCTTTGAGGCCTTCGTTGGAAACGGGATTTCTTCTTATAATTCTTGACAAAAGAATTCTCAGTAGCTTCTTTGTGTGTGTGTATTCAACTCACAGAGTTGAACCTTCCTTTAGACAGAGCAGATTGGAAACACTCTTTTTGTGGAATTTGCAAGGGGAGAATTCTAGCGCTTTGACGCCAATGGTAGAAAGGAAATATCTTCGTATAAAAACTAGACAGTATCATTCTCAGAAGCTACTTTGTGATGTGTGCGTTCAACTCACAGAGTTTAACCTTTCTTTTCATAGAGCAGTTTGGAAACCCTCTGTTTGTGAAGTCTGCAAGTGGATATTTAAACGTCTTTGAGGCCTTCGTTGGAAACGGGATTTTTTCATATAAACCAGGACAGAAGAATTCTCAGAAACTTCTTGATTGTTATGTGTGCATTCAACTCACAGAGTTGAACCTTACTTTGGAAAGAGCAGTTTCCTAACACTCGTTTTGTAAAAGTTCCAAGTGAATACTTTGAGTGCTTTGAAGCCTACGGTTGACAACGAAATATCTTCATGTAAAAACTACAAAGAATCATTCGCAGAAACCACGTTGTGATCTCTGCATTCAACTCACAGAGTTCAACCTTTCTTCCTATAGAGCAGTTATGAAACAGTCTCTTTGTAGAATTTGCAAGGGTGTATTTAGAGGGCATTGAAGCCTACGGTAGAAAAGGAAATATCTTACCATAAAATCTAGTCAGAAGCATTCTCAGCAACTGAGTTGTGATGTTTGCATTCAACTCACAGAGTTCAACATTCCTTTTAATGGAGCGGTTTTGAAACACTCTTTTTGCAGAATCTGCAAGTGGATATTTGGACCTCTTTGAGGCCTTCGTTGGAAACGGGATTTCTTCATGTAATGCCAGACAGAAGAATTCTCAGTGAATTCTTTCTGTGTGTGTGTATTCAACTCACAGAGTTGAACGTTCCTTTAGACAGAGTAGATTGGAAACACTCTTTTTGTGGAATTTTCAGGTGGAGGTATCAAGCGCTTTGAGGCCAATGATAGAAAAGGAAATACCTTCGTATAATAATTAGACGGAATCATTCTCAGAAACTGCTTTGCAATGTGTGCGTTCAACTCACAGTGTTTAACCTTTCTTTTCATACAGTTGTTTCGAAACACTCTTTTTGCAGAATCTGCAAGTGGATATTTGGACCTCTTTGAAGTCTTCGTTGGAAATGGGATTTCTTCATATAATGCTAGACAGAAGACTTCTCAGTAACTGCTTTTTCTGGTGTGTATTCTACTCTCAGAGTTGAACTTTCCTTTAGAAACAGCAGATTTGAAACTCTCTTTTTGTGGAATTTGCAAGTGGAGATTTCAGAGCTTTGAGGCCAATGGTAGAAAAGGAAATATCTTCGTATGCAAACTAGACAGAATCATTCTCAGAAACTACTTTGGTACGTGTGTGTTCAACTCACAGTGTTTAACCTTTCTTTTCATAGAGCAGTTTGGAAACACTCAGTTTGTAAAGTCAGCAACTGGATATTTGGATGTATTTGAGGCCTTCGTTGGAAACGGGATTTCTTCATATAATGCTAGACAGAAGAATTCTCAGTAACTTCTTTGGGTTGTGGGTATTCAACTCACAGAGTTGAAGCTTCCTTTAGGCGGAGCAGATTGGAAACACTTTTTGTGAAATTTTCAGGGGGAGACTTCAAGCGCTTTGAAGTGAATGGTAGGAAAGGAAATATCTTCGTATAAAAACTAGACGGAGTCATTCTCAGAAACTACTTTGTGATGTTTGCGTTCAACTCACAGAGTTTAACGTTTCTTTTCATAGAGCAGTTTGGAAACACTCTTTTTGCAGAATCTGCAAGTGGATATTTGGACCTCTTTGTGGCCTTCGTTGGAAACGGGATTTTTCATATAATGCTAGACAGAAGAATTCTCAGTAACTTCTTTTTGTGGTGTGTATTCAACTCACAGAGTTGAACCTTCCTTTAGACAGAGCAGATTTGAAACTCTCTTTTTGTGGAATTTGCAAGTGGAGATTTCAAGCGCTTTGAGGCCAACGGCAGAAAAGGAAATATCTTCGTAGAAAAAATAGACGGAATCATTCTCAGAAACTGCTTTGGGATGTGTGCATTGAACTCACAGTGTTTAACACTTCTTTTCATAGAGCACTTTGGAAACACTCAGTTTATAATGTCTGCAGCTGGATATTTGGACCTCTTTGAGGCCTTCGTAGTAAACGGGATTTCTTCGTGTAATGATAGACAATAGAATTCTCAGTGAATTTTTTTCTGTGTGTGTGTATTCAACTCACAGGGTTGAACCATCCTTTAGACAGTGCAGATTTGAAACACTTGTCTGTGGAATTTGCAAGGGGAGATTTCAAGCACTTTGAGGCCATTGGTGGAAAAGGAAATATCTTCGTATGAAAACTATACAGAATCATTCTCAGGAACTACTTTGTGATATGGGCATTCAACTCCCAGAGTTTAACCTTTCTTTTCATAGATGAGTTTGGAAACAGTCAGTTTGTAAATTCTGCAACTGGATATTTGGACCTCTTTGAGGCTTTCGTTGGAAACGGGATTTCTTCACATAATGCTAGACAGAAGAATTCTCAGGAACTTCTTTTGGGATGTATGTATTCAAATCAGAGAGTTGAACCTTCCTTTAGACAGAGCGGATTGGAAACACTCTTTTTGTGGAATTTGCAAGTGGAAAATTCTAGCAGTATGAGGCCAATGGTACAAAAGGAAATATCTTTCGTATAAAAACTAGACAGTAATCATTCTCAGAAACTGCTTTGTGATGTGTGTATTAAACTCACAGAGTTGAACATTTCTTTGCATAGAGCAGTTTGGAAAGACTTAGTTTGTGCAGTGTGCAAGTGGATATTTGGAACCCTTTGAGGCCTTCGTTGGAAACGGGATTTCTTCTTATAATTCTTGACAAAAGAATTCTCAGTAGCTTCTTTGTGTGTGTGTATTCAACTCACAGAGTTGAACCTTCCTTTAGACAGAGCAGATTGGAAACACTCTTTTTGTGGAATTTGCAAGTGGAGAATTCTAGCGCTTTGACGCCAATGGTAGAAAGGAAATATCTTCGTATAAAAACTAGACAGTTATCATTCTCAGAAACTACTTTGTGATGTGTGCGTTCAACTCACAGAGTTTAACCTTTCTTTTCATAGAGCAGTTTGGAAACACTCTGTTTGTGAAGTCTGCAGGTATATATTTAAACGTGCTTTGAGGCCTTCGTTGGAAACGGGATTTGTTCATATAAACCAGGACAGAAGAATTCTCAGAAACTTCTTGATTGTTATGTGTGCATTCAACTCACAGAGTTGAACCTTACTTTGGAAAGAGCAGTTTTCTAACACTCTTTTTGTAAAAGTTCCAAGTGAATACTTTGAGTGCTTTGAAGCCTACGGTTGACAACGAAATATCTTCATGTAAAAACTACAAAGAATCATTCGCAGAAACCACGTTGTGATCTCTGCATTCAACTCACAGAGTTCAACCTTTCTTCCTATAGAGCAGTTATGAAACAGTCTCTTTGTAGAATTTGCAAGGGTGTATTTAGAGGGCATTGAAGCCTACGGTAGAAAAGGAAATATCTTACCATAAAATCTAGTCAGAAGCATTCTCAGAAACTGAGTTGTGATGTTTGCATTCAACTCACAGAGTTCAACATTCCTTTTAATGGAGCGGTTTTGAAACACTCTTTTTGCAGAATCTGCAAGTGGATATTTGGACCTCTTTGAGGCCTTCGTTGCAAACGGGATTTCTTCATGTAATGCCAGACAGAAGAATTCTCAGTGAATTCTTTCTGTGTGTGTGTATTCAACTCACAGAGTTGAACGTTCCTTTAGACAGAGTAGATTGGAAACACTCTTTTTGTGGAATTTTCAGGTGGAGGTATCAAGCGCTTTGAGGCCAATGATAGAAAAGGAAATACCTTCGTATAATAATTAGACGGAATCATTCTCAGAAACCGCTTTGCAATGTGTGCGTTCAACTCACAGTGTTTAACCTTTCTTTTCATACAGTTGTTTCGAAACACTCTTTTTGCAGAATCTGCAAGTGGATATTTGGACCTCTTTGAAGTCTTCGTTGGAAATGGGATTTCTTCATATAATGCTAGACAGAAGACTTCTCAGTAACTGCTTTTTCTGGTGTGTATTCAACTCTCAGAGTTGAACTTTCCTTTAGAAACAGCAGATTTGAAACTCTCTTTTTGTGGAATTTGCAAGTGGAGATTTCAGAGCTTTGAGGCCAATGGTAGAAAAGGAAATATCTTCGTATGCAAACTAGACAGAATCATTCTCAGAAACTACTTTGGTACGTGTGTGTTCAACTCACAGTGTTTAACCTTTCTTTTCATAGAGCAGTTTGGAAACACTCAGTTTGTAAAGTCAGCAACTGGATATTTGGATGTATTTGAGGCCTTCGTTGGAAACGGGATTTCTTCATATAATGCTAGACAGAAGAATTCTCAGTAACTTCTTTGGGTTGTGGGTATTCAAGTCACAGAGTTGAAGCTTCCTTTAGGCGGAGCAGATTGGAAACACTTTTTGTGGAATTTTCAGGGGGAGACTTCAAGCGCTTTGAAGTGAATGGTAGGAAAGGAAATATCTTCGTATAAAAACTAGACGGAGTCATTCTCAGAAACTACTTTGTGATGTTTGCGTTCAACTCACAGAGTTTAACGTTTCTTTTCATAGAGCAGTTTGGAAACACTCTTTTTGCAGAATCTGCAAGTGGATATTTGGACCTCTTTGTGGCCTTCGTTGGAAACGGGATTTTTCATATAATGCTAGACAGAAGAATTCTCAGTAACTTCTTTTTGTGGTGTGTATTCAACTCACAGAGTTGAACCTTCCTTTAGACAGAGCAGATTTGAAACTCTCTTTTTGTGGAATTTGCAAGTGGAGATTTCAAGCGCTTTGAGGCCAACGGCAGAAAAGGAAATATCTTCGTAGAAAAAATAGACGGAATCATTCTCAGAAACTGCTTTGGGATGTGTGCATTGAACTCACAGTGTTTAACACTTCTTTTCATAGAGCACTTTGGAAACACTCAGGTTGTAATGTCTGCAGCTGGATATTTGGACCTCTTTGAGGCCTTCGTAGTAAACGGGATTTCTTCGTGTAATGATAGACAATAGAATTCTCAGTGAATTTTTTTCTGTGTGTGTGTATTCAACTCACAGGGTTGAACCTTCCTTTAGACAGTGCAGATTTGAGACACTTGTCTGTGGAATTTGCAAGGGGAGATTTCAAGCACTTTGAGGCCATTGGTGGAAAAGGAAATATCTTCGTATAAAAACTAGACAGAATCATTCTCAGGAACTACTTTGTGATATGTGCATTCAACTCACAGAGTTTAACCTTTCTTTTCATAGATGAGTTTGGAAACAGTCAGTTTGTAAATGCTGCAACTGGATATTTGGGCCTCTTTGAGGCTTTCGTTGGAAACGGGATTTCTTCACATAATGCTAGACAGAAGAATTCTCAGTAACTTCTTTTGGGATGTATGTATTCAAATCACAGAGTTGAACCTTCCTTTAGACAGAGCGGATTGGAAACACTCTTTTTGTGGAATTTGCAAGTGGAAAATTCTAGCAGTATGAGGCCAATGGTACAAAAGGAAATATCTTCGTATAAAAACTAGACAGTATCATTCTCAGAAACTGCTTTGTGATGTGTGTATTAAACTCACAGAGTTGAACATTTCTTTGCATAGAGCAGTTTGGAAAGACTTAGTTTTTGCAGTGTGCAAGTGGATATTTGTAACCCTTTGAGGCCTTCGTTGGAAACGGGATTTCTTCTTATAATTCTTGACAAAAGAATTCTCAGTAGCTTCTTTGTGTGTGTGTATTCAACTCACAGAGTTGAACCTTCCTTTAGACAGAGCAGATTGGAAACACTCTTTTTGTGGAATTTGCAAGTGGAGAATTCTAGCGCTTTGACGCCAATGGTAGAAAGGAAATATCTTCGTATAAAAACTAGACAGTATCATTCTCAGAAGCTACTTTGTGATGTGTGCGTTCAACTCACAGAGTTTAACCTTTCTTTTCATAGAGCAGTTTGGAAACCCTCTGTTTGTGAAGTCTGCAAGTGGATATTTAAACGTCTTTGAGGCCTTCGTTGGAAACGGGATTTTTTCATATAAACCAGGACAGAAGAATTCTCAGAAACTTCTTGATTGTTATGTGTGCATTCAACTCACAGAGTTGAACCTTACTTTGGAAAGAGCAGTTTTCTAACACTCTTTTTGTAAAAGTTCCAAGTGAATACTTTGAGTGCTTTGAAGCCTACGGTTGACAACGAAATATCTTCATGTAAAAACTACAAAGAATCATTCGCAGAAACCACGTTGTGATCTCTGCAGTCAACTCACAGAGTTCAACCTTTCTTCCTATAGAGCAGTTATGAAACAGTCTCTTTGTAGAATTTGCAAGGGTGTATTTAGAGGGCATTGAAGCCTACGGTAGAAAAGGAAATATCTTACCATAAAATCTAGTCAGAAGCATTCTCAGAAACTGAGTTGTGATGTTTGCATTCAACTCACAGAGTTCAACATTCCTTTTAATGGAGCGGTTTTGAAACACTCTTTTTGCAGAATCTGCAAGTGGATATTTGGACCTCTTTGAGGCCTTCGTTGGAAACGGGATTTCTTCATGTAATGCCAGACAGAAGAATTCTCAGTGAATTCTTTCTGTGTGTGTGTATTCAACTCACAGAGTTGAACGTTCCTTTAGACAGAGTAGATTGGAAACACTCTTTTTGTGGAATTTTCAGGTGGAGGTATCAAGCGCTTTGAGGCCAATGATAGAAAAGGAAATACCTTCGTATAATAATTAGACGGAATCATTCTCAGAAACTGCTTTGCAATGTGTGCGTTCAACTCACAGTGTTTAACCTTTCTTTTCATACAGTTGTTTCGAAACACTCTTTTTGCAGAATCTGCAAGTGGATATTTGGACCTCTTTGAAGTCTTCGTTGGAAATGGGATTTCTTCATATAATGCTAGACAGAAGACTTCTCAGTAACTGCTTTTTCTGGTGTGTATTCAACTCTCAGAGTTGAACTTTCCTTTAGAAACAGCAGAGTTGAAACTCTCTTTTTGTGGAATTTGCAAGTGGAGATTTCAAAGCTTTGAGGCCAATGGTAGAAAAGGAAATATCTTCGTATGCAAACTAGACAGAATCATTCTCAGAAACTACTTTGGTACGTGTGTGTTCAACTCACAGTGTTTAACCTTTCTTTTCATAGAGCAGTTTGGAAACACTCAGTTTGTAAAGTCAGCAACTGGATATTTGGATGTATTTGAGGCCTTCGTTGGAAACGGGATTTCTTCATATAATGCTAGACAGAAGAATTCTCAGTAACTTCTTTGGGTTGTGGGTATTCAACTCACAGAGTTGAAGCTTCCTTTAGGCGGAGCAGATTGGAAACACTTTTTGTGGAATTTTCAGGGGGAGACTTCAAGCGCTTTGAAGTGAATGGTAGAAAAGGAAATATCTTCGTATAAAAACTAGACGGAGTCATTCTCAGAAACTACTTTGTGATGTTTGCGTTCAACTCACAGAGTTTAACGATTCTTTTCATAGAGCAGTTTGGAAACACTCTTTTTGCAGAATCTGCAAGTGGATATTTGGACCTCTTTGTGGCCTTCGTTGGAAACGGGATTTTTCATATAATGCTAGACAGAAGTAATTCTCAGTAACTTCTTTTTGTGGTGTGTATTCAACTCACAGAGTTGAACCTTCCTTTAGACAGAGCAGATTTGAAACTCTCTTTTTGTGGAATTTGCAAGTGGAGATTTCAAGCGCTTTGAGGCCAACGGCAGAAAAGGAAATATCTTCGTAGAAAAAATAGACGGAATCATTCTCAGAAACTGCTTTGGGATGTGTGCATTGAACTCACAGTGTTTAACACTTCTTTTCATAGAGCACTTTGGAAACACTCAGTTTGTAATGTCTGCAGCTGGATATTTGGACCTCTTTGAGGCCTTCGTAGTAAACGGGATTTCTTCGTGTAATGATAGACAATAGAATTCTCAGTGAATTTTTTTCTGTGTGTGTGTATTCAACTCACAGGGTTGAACCTTCCTTTAGACAGTGTAGATTTGAAACACTTGTCTGTGGAATTTGCAAGGGGAGATTTCAAGCACTTTGAGGCCATTGGTGGAAAAGGAAATATCTTCGTATAAAAACTAGACAGAATCATTCTCAGGAACTACTTTGTGATATGTGCATTCAACTCCCAGAGTTTAACCTTTCTTTTCATAGATGAGTTTGGAAACAGTCAGTTTGTAAATTCTGCAACTGGATATTTGGACCTCTTTGAGGCTTTCGTTGGAAACGGGATTTCTTCACATAATGCTAGACAGAAGAATTCTCAGTAACTTCTTTTGGGATGTATGTATTCAAATCAGAGAGTTGAACCTTCCTTTAGACAGAGCGGATTGGAAACACTCTTTTTGTGGAATTTGCAAGTGGAAAATTCTAGCAGTATGAGGCCAATGGTACAAAAGGAAATATCTTCGTATAAAAACTAGACAGTATCATTCTCAGAAACTGCTTTGTGATGTGTGTATTAAACTCACAGAGTTGAACATTTCTTTGCATAGAGCAGTTTGGAAAGACTTAGTTTGTGCAGTGTGCAAGTGGATATTTGGAACTCTTTGAGGCCTTCGTTGGAAACGGGATTTCTTCTTATAATTCTTGACAAAAGAATTCTCAGTAGCTTCTTTGTGTGTGTGTATTCAACTCACAGAGTTGAACCTTCCTTTAGACAGAGCAGATTGGAAACACTCTTTTTGTGGAATTTGCAAGTGGAGAATTCTAGCGCTTTGACGCCAATGGTAGAAAGGAAATATCTTCGTATAAAAACTAGACAGTATCATTCTCAGAAGCTACTTTGTGATGTGTGCGTTCAACTCACAGAGTTTAACCTTTCTTTTCATAGAGCGGTTTGGAAACCCTCTGTTTGTGAAGTCTGCAAGTGGATATTTAAACGTCTTTGAGGCCTTCGTTGGAAACGGGATTTTTTCATATAAACCAGGACAGAAGAATTCTCAGAAACGTCTTGATTGTTATGTGTGCATTCAACTCACAGAGTTGAACCTTACTTTGGAAAGAGCAGTTTTCTAACACTCTTTTTGTAAAAGTTCCAAGTGAATACTTTGAGTGCTTTGAAGCCTACGGTTGACAACGACATATCTTCATGTAAAAACTACAAAGAATCATTCGCAGAAACCACGTTGTGATCTCTGCATTCAACTCACAGAGTTCAACCTTTCTTCCTATAGAGCAGTTATGAAACAGTCTCTTTGTAGAATTTGCAAGGGTGTATTTAGAGGGCATTGAAGCCTACGGTAGAAAAGGAAATATCTTACCATAAAATCTAGTCAGAAGCATTCTCAGAAACTGAGTTGTGATGTTTGCATTCAACTCACAGAGTTCAACATTCCTTTTAATGGAGCGGTTTTGAAACACTCTTTTTGCAGAATCTGCAAGTGGATATTTGGACCTCTTTGAGGTCTTCGTTGGAAACGGGATTTCTTCATGTAATGCCAGACAGAAGAATTCTCAGTGAATTCTTTCTGTGTGTGTGTATTCAACTCACAGAGTTGAACGTTCCTTTAGACAGAGTAGATTGGAAACACTCTTTTTGTGGAATTTTCAGGTGGAGGTATCAAGCGCTTTGAGGCCAATGATAGAAAAGGAAATACCTTCGTATAATAATTAGACGGAATCATTCTCAGAAACCGCTTTGCAATGTGTGCGTTCAACTCACAGTGTTTAACCTTTCTTTTCATACAGTTGTTTCGAAACACTCTTTTTGCAGAATCTGCAAGTGGATATTTGGACCTCTTTGAAGTCTTCGTTGGAAATGGGATTTCTTCATATAATGCTAGACAGAAGACTTCTCAGTAACTGCTTTTTCTGGTGTGTATTCAACTCTCAGAGTTGAACTTTCCTTTAGAAACAGCAGATTTGAAACTCTCTTTTTGTGGAATTTGCAAGTGGAGATTTCAGAGCTTTGAGGCCAATGGTAGAAAAGGAAATATCTTCGTATGCAAACTAGACAGAATCATTCTCAGAAACTACTTTGGTACGTGTGTGTTCAACTCACAGTGTTTAACCTTTCTTTTCATAGAGCAGTTTGGAAACACTCAGTTTGTAAAGTCAGCAACTGGATATTTGGATGTATTTGAGGCCTTCGTTGGAAACGGGATTTCTTCATATAATGCTAGACAGAAGAATTCTCAGTAACTTCTTTGGGTTGTGGGTATTCAACTCACAGAGTTGAAGCTTCCTTTAGGCGGAGCAGATTGGAAACACTTTTTGTGGAATTTTCAGGGGGAGACTTCAAGCGCTTTGAAGTGAATGGTAGAAAAGGAAATATCTTCGGTATAAAAACTAGACGGAGTCATTCTCAGAAACTACTTTGTGATGTTTGCGTTCAACTCACAGAGTTTAACGTTTCTTTTCATAGAGTAGTTTGGAAACACTCTTTTTGCAGAATCTGCAAGTGGATATTTGGACCTCTTTGTGGCCTTCGTTGGAAACGGGATTTTTCATATAATGCTAGACAGAAGAATTCTCAGTAACTTCTTTTTGTGGTGTGTATTCAACTCACAGAGTTGAACCTTCCTTTAGACAGAGCAGATTTGAAACTCTCTTTTTGTGGAATTTGCAAGTGGAGATTTCAAGCGCTTTGAGGCCAACGGCAGAAAAGGAAATATCTTCGTAGAAAAAATAGACGGAATCATTCTCAGAAACTGCTTTGGGATGTGTGCATTGAACTCACAGTGTTTAACACTTCTTTTCATAGAGCACTTTGGAAACACTCAGTTTGTAATGTCTGCAGCTGGATATTTGGACCTCTTTGAGGCCTTCGTAGTAAACGGGATTTCTTCGTGTAATGATAGACAATAGAATTCTCAGTGAATTTTTTTCTGTGTGTGTGTATTCAACTCACAGGGTTGAACCTTCCTTTAGACAGTGCAGATTTGAAACACTTGTCTGTGGAATTTGCAAGGGGAGATTTCAAGCACTTTGAGGCCATTGGTGGAAAAGGAAATAACTTCGTATAAAAACTAGACAGATCATTCTCAGGAACTACTTTGTGATATGGGCATTCAACTCCCAGAAGTTTAACCTTTCTTTTCATAGATGAGTTTGGAAACAGTCAGTTTGTAAATTCTACAACTGGATATTTGGACCTCTTTGAGGCTTTCGTTGGAAACGGGATTTCTTCACATAATGCTAGACAGAAGAATTCTCAGTAACTTCTTTTGGGATGTATGTATTCAAATCAGAGAGTTGAACCTTCCTTTAGACAGAGCGGATTGGAAACACTCTTTTTGTGGAATTTGCAAGTGGAAAATTCTAGCAGTATGAGGCCAATGGTACAAAAGGAAATATCTTCGTATAAAAACTAGACAGTATCATTCTCAGAAACTGCTTTGTGATGTGTGTATTAAACTCACAGAGTTGAACATTTCTTTGCATAGAGCAGTATGGAAAGACTTAGTTTGTGCAGTGTGCAAGTGGATATTTGGAACTCTTTGAGGCCTTGGTTGGAAACGGGATTTCTTCTTATAATTCTTGACAAAAGAATTCTCAGTAGCTTCTTTGTGTGTGTGTACTCAACTCACAGAGTTGAACCTTCCTTTAGACAGAGCAGATTGGAAACACTCTTTTTGTGGAATTTGCAAGTGGAAAATTCTAGCAGTATGAGGCCAATGGTACAAAAGGAAATATCTTCGTATAAAAACTAGACAGTATCATTCTCAGAAACTACTTTGTGAGGTGTGCGTTCAACTCACAGTGTTTACCCTTTCTTTTCATAGAGCAGTTTGGAAACACTCTGTTTGTGAAGTCTGCAAGTGGATATTTAAACGTCTTTGAGGCCTTCGTTGGAAACGGGATTTCTTCATATAAACCAGGACAGAAGAATTCTCAGAAACTTCTTGTTTGTTATGTGTGCATTCAACTCACAGAGTTGAACCTTACTTTGGAAAGAGCAGTTTTCTAACACTCTTTTTGTAAAAGTTCCAAGTGAATACTTTGAGTGCTTTGAAGCCTACGGTAGACAACGAAATATCTTCATGTAAAAACTACAAAGAATCATTCGCAGAAACCACGTTGTGATCTCTGCATTCAACTCACAGAGTTGAACCTTTCCTCCTATAGAGCAGTTATGAAACAGTCTCTTTGTAGAATTTGCAAGGGTGTATTTACAGGGCATTGAAGCCTACGGTAGAAAAGGAAATATCTTACCATAAAATCTAGTCAGAAGCATTCTCAGAAACTGAGTTGTGATGTTTGCATTCAACTCACAGAGTTCAACATTCCTTTTAATGGAGCGGTTTTGAAACACTCTTTTTGCAGAATCTGCAAGTGGATATTTGGACCTCTTTGAGGCCTTCGTTGGAAACGGGATTTCTTCATGTAATGCCAGACAGAAGAATTCTCAGTGAATTCTTTCTGTGTGTGTGTATTCAACTCACGGAGTTGAACGTTCCTTTAGACAGAGTAGATTGGAAACACTCTTTTTGTGGAATTTTCAGGTGGAGGTATCAAGCGCTTTGAGGCCAATGATAGAAAAGGAAATACCTTCGTATAATAATTAGACGGAATCATTCTCAGAAACTGCTTTGCAATGTGTGCGTTCAACTCACAGTGTTTAACCTTTCTTTTCATACAGTTGTTTCGAAACACTCTTTTTGCAGAATCTGCAAGTGGATATTTGGACCTCTTTGAAGTCTTCGTTGGAAATGGGATTTCTTCATATAATGCTAGACAGAAGACTTCTCAGTAACTGCTTTTTCTGGTGTGTATTCAACTCTCAGAGTTGAACTTTCCTTTAGAAACAGCAGAGTTGAAACTCTCTTTTTGTGGAATTTGCAAGTGGAGATTTCAAAGCTTTGAGGCCAATGGTAGAAAAGGAAATATCTTCGTATGCAAACTAGACAGAATCATTCTCAGAAACTACTTTGGTACGTGTGTGTTCAACTCACAGTGTTTAACCTTTCTTTTCATAGAGCAGTTTGGAAACACTCAGTTTGTGAAGTCAGCAACTGGATATTTGGATGTATTTGAGGCCTTCGTTGGAAACGGGATTTCTTCATATAATGCTAGACAGAAGAATTCTCAGTAACTTCTTAGGGTTGTGGGTATTCAACTCACAGAGTTGAAGCTTCCTTTAGGCGGAGCAGATTGGAAACACTTTTTGTGGAATTTTCAGGGGGAGACTTCAAGCGCTTTGAAGTGAATGGTAGAAAAAGAAATATCTTCGTATAAAAACTAGACGGAGTCATTCTCAGAAACTACTTTGTGATGTTTGCGGTTCAACTCACAGAGTTTAACGTTTCTTTTCATAGAGCAGTTTGGAAACACTCTTTTTGCAGAATCTGCAAGTGGATATTTGGACCTCTTTGTGGCCTTCGTTGGAAACGGGATTTTTCATATAATGCTAGACAGAAGAATTCTCAGTAACTTCTTTTTGTGGTGTGTATTCAACTCACAGAGTTCAACTTTCCTTTAGACAGAGCAGATTTGAAACTCTCTTTTTGTGGAATTTGCAAGTGGAGATTTCAAGCGCTTTGAGGTCAATGGTAGAAAAGGAAATATCTTCGTAGAAAAAATAGACGGAATCATTCTCAGAAACTGCTTTGGGATGTGTGCATTGAACTCACAGTGTTTAACACTTCTTTTCATAGAGCACTTTGGAAACACTCAGTTTGTAATGTCTGCAGCTGGATATTTGGACCTCTTTGAGGCCTTCGTAGTAAACGGGATTTCTTCGTGTAATGATAGACAATAGAATTCTCAGTGAATTTTTTTCTGTGTGTGTGTATTCAACTCACAGGGTTGAACCTTCCTTTAGACAGTGCAGATTTGAAACACTTGTCTGTGGAAATTGCAAGGGGAGATTTCAAGCACTTTGAGGCCATTGGTGGAAAAGGAAATATCTTCGTATAAAAACTAGACAGAATCATTCTCAGGAACTACTTTGTGATATGTGCATTCAACTCACAGAGTTTAACCTTTCTTTTCATAGATGAGTTTGGAAACAGTCAGTTTGTAAATTCTGCAACTGGATATTTGGACCTCTTTGAGGCTTTCGTTGGAAACGGGATTTCTTCACATAATGCTAGACAGAAGAATTCTCAGTAACTTCTTTTGGGATGTATGTATTCAAATCAGAGAGTTGAACCTTCCTTTAGACAGAGCGGATTGGAAACACTCTTTTTGTGGAATTTGCAAGTGGAAAATTCTAGCAGTATGAGGCCAATGGTACAAAAGGAAATATCTTCGTATAAAAACTAGACAGTATCATTCTCAGAAACTGCTTTGTGATGTGTGTATTAAACTCACAGAGTTGAACATTTCTTTGCATAGAGCAGTTTGGAAAGACTTAGTTTGTGCAGTGTGCAAGTGGATATTTGGAACTCTTTGAGGCCTTCGTTGGAAACGGGATTTCTTCTTATAATTTCTTGAAAAAAGAATTCTCAGTAGCTTCTTTGTGTGTGTGTATTCAACTCACAGAGTTGAACCTTCCTTTAGACAGAGCAGATTGGAAACACTCTTTTTGTGGAATTTGCAAGTGGAGAATTCTAGCGCTTTGACGCCAATGGTAGAAAGGAAATATCTTCGTATAAAAACTAGACAGTATCATTCTCAGAAGCTACTTTGTGATGTGTGCGTTCAACTCACAGAGTTTAACCTTTCTTTTCATAGAGCAGTTTGGAAACCCTCTGTTTGTGAAGTCTGCAAGTGGATATTTAAACGTCTTTGAGGCCTTCGTTGGAAACGGGATTTTTTCATATAAACCAGGACAGAAGAATTCTCAGAAACTTCTTGATTGTTATGTGTGCATTCAACTCACAGAGTTGAACCTTACTTTGGAAAGAGCAGTTTTCTAACACTCTTTTTGTAAAAGTTCCAAGTGAATACTTTGAGTGCTCTGAAGCCTACGGTTGACAACGAAATATCTTCATGTAAAAACTACAAAGAATCATTCGCAGAAACCACGTTGTGATCTCTGCATTCAACTCACAGAGTTGAACCTTTCTTCCTATAGAGCAGTTATGAAACAGTCTCTTTGTAGAATTTGCAAGGGTGTATTTAGAGGGCATTGAAGCCTACGGTATAAAAGGAAATATCTTACCATAAAATCTAGTCAGAAGCATTCTCAGCAACTGAGTTGTGATGTTTCCATTCAACTCACAGAGTTCAACATTCCTTTTAATGGAGCGGTTTTGAAACACTCTTTTTGCAGAATCTGCAAGTGGATATTTGGACCTCTTTGAGGCCTTCGTTGGAAACGGGATTTCTTCATGTAATGCCAGACAGAAGAATTCTCAGTGAATTCTTTCTGTGTGTGTGTATTCAACTCACAGAGTTGAACGTTCCTTTAGACAGAGTAGATTGGAAACACTCTTTTTGTGGAATTTTCAGGTGGAGGTATCAAGCGCTTTGAGGCCAATGATAGAAAAGGAAATACCTTCGTATAATAATTAGACGGAATCATTCTCAGAAACCGCTTTGCAATGTGTGCGTTCAACTCACAGTGTTTAACCTTTCTTTTCATACAGTTGTTTCGAAACACTCTTTTTGCAGAATCTGCAAGTGGATATTTGGACCTCTTTGAAGTCTTCGTTGGAAATGGGATTTCTTCATATAATGCTAGACAGAAGACTTCTCAGTAACTGCTTTTTCTGGTGTGTATTCAACTCTCAGAGTTGAACTTTCCTTTAGAAACAGCAGATTTGAAACTCTCTTTTTGTGGAATTTGCAAGTGGAGATTTCAGAGCTTTGAGGCCAATGGTAGAAAAGGAAATATCTTCGTATGCAAACTAGACAGAATCATTCTCAGAAACTACTTTGGTACGTGTGTGTTCAACTCACAGTGTTTAACCTTTCTTTTCATAGAGCAGTTTGGAAACACTCAGTTTGTAAAGTCAGCAACTGGATATTTGGATGTATTTGAGGCCTTCGTTGGAAACGGGATTTCTTCATATAATGCTAGACAGAAGAATTCTCAGTAACTTCTTTGGGTTGTGGGTATTCAAGTCACAGAGTTGAAGCTTCCTTTAGGCGGAGCAGATTGGAAACACTTTTTGTGGAATTTTCAGGGGGAGACTTCAAGCGCTTTGAAGTGAATGGTAGGAAAGGAAATATCTTCGTATAAAAACTAGACGGAGTCATTCTCAGAAACTACTTTGTGATGTTTGCGTTCAACTCACAGAGTTTAACGTTTCTTTTCATAGAGCAGTTTGGAAACACTCTTTTTGCAGAATCTGCAAGTGGATATTTGGACCTCTTTGTGGCCTTCGTTGGAAACGGGATTTTTCATATAATGCTAGACAGAAGAATTCTCAGTAACTTCTTTTTGTGGTGTGTATTCAACTCACAGAGTTGAACCTTCCTTTAGACAGAGCAGATTTGAAACTCTCTTTTTGTGGAATTTGCAAGTGGAGATTTCAAGCGCTTTGAGGCCAACGGCAGAAAAGGAAATATCTTCGTAGAAAAAATAGACGGAATCATTCTCAGAAACTGCTTTGGGATGTGTGCATTGAACTCACAGTGTTTAACACTTCTTTTCATAGAGCACTTTGGAAACACTCAGTTTGAAATGTCTGCAGCTGGATATTTGGACCTCTTTGAGGCCTTCGTAGTAAACGGGATTTCTTCGTGTAATGATAGACAATAGAATTCTCAGTGAATTTTTTTCTGTGTGTGTGTATTCAACTCACAGGGTTGAACCTTCCTTTAGACAGTGCAGATTTGAAACACTTGTCTGTGGAATTTGCAAGGGGAGATTTCAAGCACTTTGAGGCCATTGGTGGAAAAGGAAATATCTTCGTATAAAAACTAGACAGATCATTCTCAGGAACTACTTTGTGATATGTGCATTCAACTCACACAGTTTAACCTTTCTTTTCATAGATGAGTTTGGAAACAGTCAGTTTGTAAATGCTGCAACTGGATATTTGGGCCTCTTTGAGGCTTTCGTTGGAAACGGGATTTCTTCACATAATGCTAGACAGAAGAATTCTCAGTAACTTCTTTTGGGATGTATGTATTCAAATCAGAGAGTTGAACCTTTCTTTAGACAGAGCGGATTGGAAACACTCTTTTTGTGGAATTTGCAAGTGGAAAATTCTAGCAGTATGAGGCCAATGGTACAAAAGGAAATATCTTCGTATAAAAACTAGACAGTATCATTCTCAGAAACTGCTTTGTGATGTGTGTATTAAACTCACAGTGTTGAACATTTCTTTGCATAGAGCAGTTTGGAAAGACTTAGTTTGTGCAGTGTGCAAGTGGATATTTGGAACTCTTTGAGGCCTTCGTTGGAAACGGGATTTCTTCTTATAATTCTTGACAAAAGAATTCTCAGTAGCTTCTTTGTGTGTGTGTATTCAACTCACAGAGTTGAACCTTCCTTTAGACAGAGCAGATTGGAAACACTCTTTTTGTGGAATTTGCAAGTGGAGAATTCTAGCGCTTTGACGCCAATGGTAGAAAGGAAATATCTTCGTATAAAAACTAGACAGTATCATTCTCAGAAGCTACTTTGTGATGTGTGCGTTCAACTCACAGAGTTTAACCTTTCTTTTCATAGAGCAGTTTGGAAACACTCTGTTTGTGAAGTCTGCAAGTGGATATTTAAACGTCTTTGTGGCCTTTGTTGGAAACGGGATTTTTTCATATAAACCAGGACAGAAGAATTCTCAGAAACTTCTTGATTGTTATGTGTGCATTCAACTCACAGAGTTGAACCTTACTTTGGAAAGAGCAGTTTTCTAACACTCTTTTTGTAAAAGTTCCAAGTGAATACTTTGAGTGCTTTGAAGCCTACGGTTGACAACGAAATATCTTCATGTAAAAACTACAAAGAAATCATTCGCAGAAACCACGTTGTGATCTCTGCATTCAACTCACAGAGTTGAACCTTTCTTCCTATAGAGCAGTTATGAAACAGTCTCTTTGTAGAATTTGCAAGGGTGTATTTAGAGGGCATTGAAGCCTACGGTAGAAAAGGAAATATCTTACCATAAAATCTAGTCAGAAGCATTCTCAGCAACTGAGTTGTGATGTTTGCATTCAACTCACAGAGTTCAACATTCCTTTTAATGGAGCGTTTTTGAAACACTCTTTTTGCAGAATCTGCAAGTGGATATTTGGACCTCTTTGAGGCCTTCGTTGGAAACGGGATTTCTTCATGTAATGCCAGACAGAAGAATTCTCAGTGAATTCTTTCTGTGTGTGTGTATTCAACTCACAGAGTTGAACGTTCCTTTAGACAGAGTAGATTGGAAACACTCTTTTTGTGGAATTTTCAGGTGGAGGTATCAAGCGCTTTGAGGCCAATGATAGAAAAGGAAATACCTTCGTATAATAATTAGACGGAATCATTCTCAGAAACTGCTTTGCAATGTGTGCGTTCAACTCACAGTATTTAACCTTTCTTTTCATACAGTTGTTTCGAAACACTCTTTTTGCAGAATCTGCAAGTGGATATTTGGACCTCTTTGAAGTCTTCGTTGGAAATGGGATTTCTTCATATAATGCTAGACAGAAGACTTCTCAGTAACTGCTTTTTCTGGTGTGTATTCAACTCTCAGAGTTGAACTTTCCTTTAGAAACAGCAGAGTTGAAACTCTCTTTTTGTGGAATTTGCAAGTGGAGATTTCAAAGCTTTGAGGCCAATGGTAGAAAAGGAAATATCTTCGTATGCAAACTAGACAGAATCATTCTCAGAAACTACTTTGGTACGTGTGTGTTCAAGTCACAGTGTTTAACCTTTCTTTTCATAGAGCAGTTTGGAAACACTCAGTTTGTAAAGTCAGCAACTGGATATTTGGATGTATTTGAGGCCTTCGTTGGAAACGGGATTTCTTCATATAGTGCTAGACAGAAGAATTCTCAGTAACTTCTTTGGGTTGTGGGTATTCAACTCACAGAGTTGAAGCTTCCTTTAGGCGGAGCAGATTGGAAACACTTTTTGTGGAATTTTCAGGGGGAGACTTCAAGCGCTTTGAAGTGAATGGTAGAAAAGGAAATATCTTCGTATAAAAACTAGACGGAGTCATTCTCAGAAACTACTTTGTGATGTTTGCGTTCAACTCACAGAGTTTAACGTTTCTTTTCATAGAGCAGTTTGGAAACACTCTTTTTGCAGAATCTGCAAGTGGATATTTGGACCTCTTTGTGGCCTTCGTTGGAAACGGGATTTTTCATATAATGCTAGACAGAAGAATTCTCAGTAACTTCTTTTTGTGGTGTGTATTCAACTCACAGAGTTGAACCTTCCTTTAGACAGAGCAGATTTGAAACTCTCTTTTTGTGGAATTTGCAAGTGGAGATTTCAAGCGCTTTGAGGCCAACGGCAGAAAAGGAAATATCTTCGTAGAAAAAATAGACGGAATCATTCTCAGAAACTGCTTTGGGATGTGTGCATTGAACTCACAGTGTTTAACACTTCTTTTCATAGAGCACTTTGGAAACACTCAGGTTGTAATGTCTGCAGCTGGATATTTGGACCTCTTTGAGGCCTTCGTAGTAAACGGGATTTCTTCGTGTAATGATAGACAATAGAATTCTCAGTGAATTTTTTTCTGTGTGTGTGTATTCAACTCACAGGGTTGAACCTTCCTTTAGACAGTGCAGATTTGAGACACTTGTCTGTGGAATTTGCAAGGGGAGATTTCAAGCACTTTGAGGCCATTGGTGGAAAAGGAAATATCTTCGTACGAAAACTAGACAGAATCATTCTCAGGAACTACTTTGTGATATGTGCATTCAACTCCCAGAGTTTAACCTTTCTTTTCATAGATGAGTTTGGAAACAGTCAGTTTGTAAATTCTGCAACTGGATATTTGGACCTCTTTGAGGCTTTCGTTGGAAACGGGATTTCTTCACATAATGCTAGACAGAAGAATTCTCAGTAACTTCTTTTGGGATGTATGTATTCAAATCAGAGAGTTGAACCTTCCTTTAGACAGAGCGGATTGGAAACACTCTTTTTGTGGAATTTGCAAGTGGAAAATTCTAGCAGTATTAGGCCAATGGTACAAAAGGAAATATCTTCGTATAAAAACTAGACAGTATCATTCTCAGAAACTGCTTTGTGATGTGTGTATTAAACTCACAGAGTTGAACATTTCTTTGCATAGAGCAGTTTGGAAAGACTTAGTTTGTGCAGTGTGCAAGTGGATATTTGGAACTCTTTGAGGCCTTCGTTGGAAACGGGATTTCTTCTTATAATTCTTGACAAAAGAATTCTCAGTAGCTTCTTTGTGTGTGTGTATTCAACTCACAGAGTTGAACCTTCCTTTAGACAGAGCAGATTGGAAACACTCTTTTTGTGGAATTTGCAAGTGGAGAATTCTAGCGCTTTGACGCCAATGGTAGAAAGGAAATATCTTCGTATAAAAACTAGACAGTATCATTCTCAGAAGCTACTTTGTGATGTGTGCGTTCAACTCACAGAGTTTAACCTTTCTTTTCATAGAGCAGTTTGGAAACCCTCTGTTTGTGAAGTCTGCAAGTGGATATTTAAACGTCTTTGAGGCCTTCGTTGGAAACGGGATTTTTTCATATAAACCAGGACAGAAGAATTCTCAGAAACTTCTTGATTGTTATGTGTGCATTCAACTCACAGAGTTGAACCTTACTTTGGAAAGAGCAGTTTTCTAACACTCTTTTTGTAAAAGTTCCAAGTGAATACTTTGAGTGCTTTGAAGCCTACGGTTGACAACGAAATATCTTCATGTAAAAACTACAAAGAATCATTCGCAGAAACCACGTTGTGATCTCTGCATTCAACTCACAGAGTTCAACCTTTCTTCCTATAGAGCAGTTATGAAACAGTCTCTTTGTAGAATTTGCAAGGGTGTATTTAGAGGGCATTGAAGCCTACGGTAGAAAAGGAAATATCTTACCATAAAATCTAGTCAGAAGCATTCTCAGAAACTGAGTTGTGATGTTTGCATTCAACTCACAGAGTTCAACATTCCTTTTAATGGAGCGGTTTTGAAACACTCTTTTTGCAGAATCTGCAAGTGGATATTTGGACCTCTTTGAGGCCTTCGTTGGAAACGGGATTTCTTCATGTAATGCCAGACAGAAGAATTCTCAGTGAATTCTTTCTGTGTGTGTGTATTCAACTCACAGAGTTGAACGTTCCTTTAGACAGAGTAGATTGGAAACACTCTTTTTGTGGAATTTTCAGGTGGAGGTATCAAGCGCTTTGAGGCCAATGATAGAAAAGGAAATACCTCGTATAATAATTAGACGGAATCATTCTCAGAAACCGCTTTGCAATGTGTGCGTTCAACTCACAGTGTTTAACCTTTCTTTTCATACAGTTGTTTCGAAACACTCTTTTTGCAGAATCTGCAAGTGGATATTTGGACCTCTTTGAAGTCTTCGTTGGAAATGGGATTTCTTCATATAATGCTAGACAGAAGACTTCTCAGTAACTGCTTTTTCTGGTGTGTATTCAACTCTCAGAGTTGAACTTTCCTTTAGAAACAGCAGATTTGAAACTCTCTTTTTGTGGAATTTGCAAGTGGAGATTTCAGAGCTTTGAGGCCAATGGTAGAAAAGGAAATATCTTCGTATGCAAACTAGACAGAATCATTCTCAGAAACTACTTTGGTACGTGTGTGTTCAACTCACAGTGTTTAACCTTTCTTTTCATAGAGCAGTTTGGAAACACTCAGTTTGTAAAGTCAGCAACTGGATATTTGGATGTATTTGAGGCCTTCGTTGGAAACGGGATTTCTTCATATAGTGCTAGACAGAAGAATTCTCAGTAACTTCTTTGGGTTGTGGGTATTCAACTCACAGAGTTGAAGCTTCCTTTAGGCGGAGCAGATTGGAAACACTTTTTGTGGAATTTTCAGGGGGAGACTTCAAGCGCTTTGAAGTGAATGGTAGAAAAGGAAATATCTTCGTATAAAAACTAGACGGAGTCATTCTCAGAAACTACTTTGTGATGTTTGCGTTCAACTCACAGAGTTTAACGTTTCTTTTCATAGAGCAGTTTGGAAACACTCTTTTTGCAGAATCTGCAAGTGGATATTTGGACCTCTTTGTGGCCTTCGTTGGAAACGGGATTTTTCATATAATGCTAGACAGAAGAATTCTCAGTAACTTCTTTTTGTGGTGTGTATTCAACTCACAGAGTTGAACCTTCCTTTAGACAGAGCAGATTTGAAACTCTCTTTTTGTGGAATTTGCAAGTGTAGATTTCAAGCACTTTGAGGCCAACGGTAGAAAAGGAAATATCTTCGTAGAAAAAATAGACGGAATCATTCTCAGAAACTGCTTTGGGATGTGTGCATTGAACTCACAGTGTTTAACACTTCTTTTCATAGAGCACTTTGGAAACACTCAGTTTGTAATGTCTGCAGCTGGATATTTGGACCTCTTTGAGGCCTTCGTAGTAAACGGGATTTCTTCGTGTAATGATAGACAATAGAATTCTCAGTGAATTTTTTTCTGTGTGTGTGTATTCAACTCACAGGGTTGAACCTTCCTTTAGACAGTGCAGATTTGAGACACTTGTCTGTGGAATTTGCAAGGGGAGATTTCAAGCACTTTGAGGCCATTGGTGGAAAAGGAAATATCTTCGTATAAAAACTAGACAGAATCATTCTCAGGAACTACTTTGTGATATGTGCATTCAACTCACAGAGTTTAACCTTTCTTTTCATAGATGAGTTTGGAAACAGTCAGTTTGTAAATTCTGCAACTGGATATTTGGGCCTCTTTGAGGCTTTCGTTGGAAACGGGATTTCTTCACATAATGCTAGACAGAAGAATTCTCAGTAACTTCTTTTGGGATGTATGTATTCAAATCAGAGAGTTGAACCTTCCTTTAGACAGAGCGGATTGGAAACACTCTTTTTGTGGAATTTGCAAGTGGAAAATTCTAGCAGTATGAGGCCAATGGTACAAAAGGAAATATCTTCGTATAAAAACTAGACAGTATCATTCTCAGAAACTGCTTTGTGATGTGTGTATTAAACTCACAGATTTGAACATTTCTTTGCATAGAGCAGTATGGAAAGACTTAGTTTGTGCAGTGTGCAAGTGGATATTTGGAACTCTTTGAGGCCTTGGTTGGAAACGGGATTTCTTCTTATAATTCTTGACAAAAGAATTCTCAGTAGCTTCTTTGTGTGTGTGTACTCAACTCACAGAGTTGAACCTTCCTTTAGACAGAGCAGATTGGAAACACTCTTTTTGTGGAATTTGCAAGTGGAAAATTCTAGCAGTATGAGGCCAATGGTACAAAAGGAAATATCTTCGTATAAAAACTAGACAGTATCATTCTCAGAAACTACTTTGTGAGGTGTGCGTTCAACTCACAGTGTTTACCCTTTCTTTTCATAGAGCAGTTTGGAAACACTCTGTTTGTGAAGTCTGCAAGTGGATATTTAAAAGTCTTTGAGGCCTTCGTTGGAAACGGGATTTCTTCATATAAACCAGGACAGAAGAATTCTCGGAAACTTCTTGTTTGTTATGTGTGCATTCAACTCACAGAGTTGAACCTTACTTTGGAAAGAGCAGTTTTCTAACACTCTTTTTGTAAAAGTTCCAAGTGAATACTTTGAGTGCTTTGAAGCCTACGGTAGACAACGAAATATCTTCATGTAAAAACTACAAAGAATCATTCGCAGAAACCACGTTGTGATCTCTGCATTCAACTCACAGAGTTGAACCTTTCCTCCTATAGAGCAGTTATGAAACAGTCTCTTTGTTGAATTTGCAAGGGTGTATTTACAGGGCATTGAAGCCTACGGTAGAAAAGGAAATATCTTACCATAAAATCTAGTCAGAAGCATTCTCAGAAACTGAGTTGTGATGTTTGCATTCAACTCACAGAGTTCAACATTCCTTTTAATGGAGCGGTTTTGAAACACTCTTTTTGCAGAATCTGCAAGTGGATATTTGGACCTCTTTGAGGCCTTCGTTGGAAACGGGATTTCTTCATGTAATGCCAGACAGAAGAATTCTCAGTGAATTCTTTCTGTGTGTGTGTATTCAACTCACAGAGTTGAACGTTCCTTTAGACAGAGTAGATTGGAAACACTCTTTTTGTGGAATTTTCAGGTGGAGGTATCAAGCGCTTTGAGGCCAATGATAGAAAAGGAAATACCTTCGTATAATAATTAGACGGAATCATTCTCAGAAACCGCTTTGCAATGTGTGCGTTCAACTCACAGTGTTTAACCTTTCTTTTCATACAGTTGTTTCGAAACACTCTTTTTGCAGAATCTGCAAGTGGATATTTGGACCTCTTTGAAGTCTTCGTTGGAAATGGGATTTCTTCATATAATGCTAGACAGAAGACTTCTCAGTAACTGCTTTTTCTGGTGTGTATTCAACTCTCAGAGTTGAACTTTCCTTTAGAAACAGCAGATTTGAAACTCTCTTTTTGTGGAATTTGCAAGTGGAGATTTCAGAGCTTTGAGGCCAATGGTAGAAAAGGAAATATCTTCGTATGCAAACTAGACAGAATCATTCTCAGAAACTACTTTGGTACGTGTGTGTTCAACTCACAGTGTTTAACCTTTCTTTTCATAGAGCAGTTTGGAAACACTCAGTTTGTAAAGTCAGCAACTGGATATTTGGATGTATTTGAGGCCTTCGTTGGAAACGGGATTTCTTCATATAATGCTAGACAGAAGAATTCTCAGTAACTTCTTTGGGTTGTGGGTATTCAACTCACAGAGTTGAAGCTTCCTTTAGGCGGAGCAGATTGGAAACACTTTTTGTGGAATTTTCAGGGGGAGACTTCAAGCGCTTTGAAGTGAATGTTAGGAAAGGTAATATCCTCGTATAAAAACTAGACGGAGTCATTCTCAGAAACTACTTTGTGATGTTTGCGTTCAACTCACAGAGTTTAACGTTTCTTTTCATAGAGCAGTTTGGAAACACTCTTTTTGCAGAATCTGCAAGTGGATATTTGGACCTCTTTGTGGCCTTCGTTGGAAACGGGATTTTTCATATAATGCTAGACAGAAGAATTCTCAGTAACTTCTTTTTGTGGTGTGTATTCAACTCACAGAGTTGAACCTTCCTTTAGACAGAGCAGATTTGAAACTCTCTTTTTGTGGAATTTGCAAGTGGAGATTTCAAGCGCTTTGAGGCCAACGGCAGAAAAGGAAATATCTTCGTAGAAAAAATAGACGGAATCATTCTCAGAAACTGCTTTGGGATGTGTGCATTGAACTCACAGTGTTTAACACTTCTTTTCATAGAGCACTTTGGAAACACTCAGTTTGTAATGTCTGCAGCTGGATATTTGGACCTCTTTGAGGCCTTCGTAGTAAACGGGATTTCTTCGTGTAATGATAGACAATAGAATTCTCAGTGAATTTTTTTCTGTGTGTGTGTATTCAACTCACAGGGTTGAACCTTCCTTTAGACAGTGCAGATTTGAAACACTTGTCTGTGGAATTTGCAAGGGGAGATTTCAAGCACTTTGAGGCCATTGGTGGAAAAGGAAATATCTTCGTATGAAAACTAGACAGAATCATTCTCAGGAACTACTTTGTGATATGTGCATTCAACTCACAGAGTTTAACCTTTCTTTTCATAGATGAGTTTGGAAACAGTCAGTTTGTAAATTCTGCAACTGGATATTTGGACCTCTTTGAGGCTTTCGTTGGAAACGGGATTTCTTCACATAATGCTAGACAGAAGAATTCTCAGTAACTTCTTTTGGGATGTATGTATTCAAATCAGAGTGTTGAACCTTCCTTTAGACAGAGCGGATTGGAAACACTCTTTTTGTGGAATTTGCAAGTGGAAAATTCTAGCAGTATGAGGCCAATGGTACAAAAGGAAATATCTTCGTATAAAAACTAGACAGTATCATTCTCAGAAACTGCTTCGTGATGTGTGTATTAAACTCACAGAGTTGAACATTTCTTTGCATAGAGCAGTTTGGAAAAACTTAGTTTGTGCAGTGTGCAAGTGGATATTTGGAACTCTTTGAGGCCTTCGTTGGAAACGGGATTTCTTCTTATAATTCTTGACAAAAGAATTCTCAGTAGCTTCTTTGTGTGTGTGTAATCAACTCACAGAGTTGAACCTTCCTTGAGACAGAGCAGATTGGAAACACTCTTTTTGTGGAATTTGCAAGTGGAGAATTCTAGCGCTTTGACGCCAATGGTAGAAAGGAAATATCTTCGTATAAAAACTAGATAGTATCATTCTCAGAAGCTACTTTGTGATGTGTGCGTTCAACTCACAGAGTTTAACCTTTCTTTTCATAGAGCAGTTTGGAAACCCTCTGTTTGTGAAGTCTGCAAGTGGATATTTAAACGTCTTTGAGGCCTTCGTTGGAAACGGGATTTTTTCATATAAACCAGGACAGAAGAATTCTCAGAAACTTCTTGATTGTTATGTGTGCATTCAACTCACAGAGTTGAACCTTACTTTGGAAAGAGCAGTTTTCTAACACTCTTTTTGTAAAAGTTCCAAGTGAATACTTTGAGTGCTTTGAAGCCTACGGTTGACAACGAAATATCTTCATGTAAAAACTACAAAGAATCATTCGCAGAAACCACGTTGTGATCTCTGCATTCAACTCACAGAGTTGAACCTTTCTTCCTATAGAGCAGTTATGAAACAGTCTCTTTGTAGAATTTGCAAGGGTGTATTTAGAGGGCATTGAAGCCTACGGTAGAAAAGGAAATATCTTACCATAAAATCTAGTCAGAAGCATTCTCAGCAACTGAGTTGTGATGTTTGCATTCAACTCACAGAGTTCAACATTCCTTTTAATGGAGCGGTTTTGAAACACTCTTTTTGCAGAATCTGCAAGTGGATATTTGGACCTCTTTGAGGCCTTCGTTGGAAACGGGATTTCTTCATGTAATGCCAGACAGAAGAATTCTCAGTGAATTCTTTCTGTGTGTGTGTATTCAACTCACAGAGTTGAACGTTCCTTTAGACAGAGTAGATTGGAAACACTCTTTTTGTGGAATTTTCAGGTGGAGGTATCAAGCGCTTTGAGGCCAATGATAGAAAAGGAAATACCTTCGTATAATAATTAGACGGAATCATTCTCAGAAACCGCTTTGCAATGTGTGCGTTCAACTCACAGTGTTTAACCTTTCTTTTCATACAGTTGTTTCGAAACACTCTTTTTGCAGAATCTGCAAGTGGATATTTGGACCTCTTTGAAGTCTTCGTTGGAAATGGGATTTCTTCATATAATGCTAGACAGAAGACTTCTCAGTAACTGCTTTTTCTGGTGTGTATTCAACTCTCAGAGTTGAACTTTCCTTTAGAAACAGCAGATTTGAAACTCTCTTTTTGTGGAATTTGCAAGTGGAGATTTCAGAGCTTTGAGGCCAATGGTAGAAAAGGAAATATCTTCGTATGCAAACTAGACAGAATCATTCTCAGAAACTACTTTGGTACGTGTGTGTTCAACTCACAGTGTTTAACCTTTCTTTTCATAGAGCAGTTTGGAAACACTCAGTTTGTAAAGTCAGCAACTGGATATTTGGATGTATTTGAGGCCTTCGTTGGAAACGGGATTTCTTCATATAATGCTAGACAGAAGAATTCTCAGTAACTTCTTAGGGTTGTGGGTATTCAACTCACAGAGTTGAAGCTTCCTTTAGGCGGAGCAGATTGGAAACACTTTTTGTGGAATTTTCAGGGGGAGACTTCAAGCGCTTTGAAGTGAATGGTAGGAAAGGAAATATCTTCGTATAAAAACTAGACGGAGTCATTCTCAGAAACTACTTTGTGATGTTTGCGTTCAACTCACAGAGTTTAACGTTTCTTTTCATAGAGCAGTTTGGAAACACTCTTTTTGCAGAATCTGCAAGTGGATATTTGGACCTCTTTGTGGCCTTCGTTGGAAACGGGATTTTTCATATAATGCTAGACAGAAGAATTCTCAGTAACTTCTTTTTGTGGTGTGTATTCAACTCACAGAGTTGAACCTTCCTTTAGACAGAGCAGATTTGAAACTCTCTTTTTGTGGAATTTGCAAGTGGAGATTTCAAGCGCTTTGAGGCCAACGGCAGAAAAGGAAATATCTTCGTAGAAAAAATAGACGGAATCATTCTCAGAAACTGCTTTGGGATGTGTGCATTGAACTCACAGTGTTTAACACTTCTTTTCATAGAGCACTTTGGAAACACTCAGTTTATAATGTCTGCAGCTGGATATTTGGACCTCTTTGAGGCCTTCGTAGTAAACGGGATTTCTTCGTGTAATGATAGACAATAGAATTCTCAGTGAATTTTTTTCTGTGTGTGTGTATTCAACTCACAGGGTTGAACCTTCCTTTAGACAGTGCAGATTTGAAACACTTGTCTGTGGAATTTGCAAGGGGAGATTTCAAGCACTTTGAGGCCATTGGTGGAAAAGGAAATATCTTCGTATAAAAACTAGACAGAATCATTCTCAGGAACTACTTTGTGATATGTGCATTCAACTCACAGAGTTTAACCTTTCTTTTCATAGATGAGTTTGGAAACAGTCAGTTTGTAAATTCTGCAACTGGATATTTGGACCTCTTTGAGGCTTTCGTTGGAAACGGGATTTCTTCACATAATGCTAGACAGAAGAATTCTCAGTAACTTCTTTTGGGATGTATGTATTCAAATCAGAGAGTTGAACCTTCCTTTAGACAGAGCGGATTGGAAACACTCTTTTTGTGGAATTTGCAAGTGGAAAATTCTAGCAGTATGAGGCCAATGGTACAAAAGGAAATATCTTCGTATAAAAACTAGACAGTATCATTCTCAGAAACTGCTTTGTGATGTGTGTATTAAACTCACAGAGTTGAACATTTCTTTGCATAGAGCAGTTTGGAAAGACTTAGTTTGTGCAGTGTGCAAGTGGATATTTGGAACTCTTTGAGGCCTTCGTTGGAAACGGGATTTCTTCTTATAATTCTTGACAAAAGAATTCTCAGTAGCTTCTTTGTGTGTGTGTATTCAACACACAGAGTTGAACCTTCCTTTAGACAGAGCAGATTGGAAACACTCTTTTTGTGGAATTTGCAAGTGGAGAATTCTAGCGCTTTGACGCCAATGGTAGAAAGGAAATATCTTCGTATAAAAACTAGACAGTATCATTCTCAGAAGCTACTTTGTGATGTCTGCGTTCAACTCACAGAGTTTAACCTTTCTTTTCATAGAGCAGTTTGGAAACCCTCTGTTTGTGAAGTCTGCAAGTGGATATTTAAACGTCTTTGAGGCCTTCGTTGGAAACGGGATTTTTTCATATAAACCAGGAAAGAAGAATTCTCAGAAACTTCTTGATTGTTATGGGTGCATTCAACTCACAGAGTTGAACCTTACTTTGGAAAGAGCAGTTTTCTAACACTCTTTTTGTAAAAGTTCCAAGTGAATACTTTGAGTGCTTTGAAGCCTATGGTTGACAACGAAATATCTTCATGTAAAAACTACAAAGAATCATTCGCAGAAACCACGTTGTGATCTCTGCATTCAACTCACAGAGTTGAACCTTTCTTCCTATAGAGCAGTTATGAAACAGTCTCTTTGTAGAATTTGCAAGGGTGTATTTAGAGGGCATTGAAGCCTACGGTATAAAAGGAAATATCTTACCATAAAATCTAGTCAGAAGCATTCTCAGAAACTGAGTTGTGATGTTTGCATTCAACTCACAGAGTTCAACATTCCTTTTAATGGAGCGGTTTTGAAACACTCTTTTTGCAGAATCTGCAAGTGGATATTTGGACCTCTTTGAGGCCTTCGTTGGAAACGGGATTTCTTCATGTAATGCCAGACAGAAGAATTCTCAGTGAATTCTTTCTGTGTGTGTGTATTCAACTCACAGAGTTGAACGTTCCTTTAGACAGAGTAGATTGGAAACACTCTTTTTGTGGAATTTTCAGGTGGAGGTATCAAGCGCTTTGAGGCCAATGATAGAAAAGGAAATACCTTCGTATAAGAATTAGACGGAATCATTCTCAGAAACTGCTTTGCAATGTGTGCGTTCAACTCACAGTGTTTAACCTTTCTTTTCATACAGTTGTTTCGAAACACTCTTTTTGCAGAATCTGCAAGTGGATATTTGGACCTCTTTGAAGTCTTCGTTGGAAATGGGATTTCTTCATATAATGCTAGACAGAAGACTTCTCAGTAACTGCTTTTTCCTGGTGTGTATTCAACTCTCAGAGTTGAACTTTCCTTTAGAAACAGCAGAGTTGAAACTCTCTTTTTGTGGAATTTGCAAGTGGAGATTTCAAAGCTTTGAGGCCAATGGTAGAAAAGGAAATATCTTCGTATGCAAACTAGACAGAATCATTCTCAGAAACTACTTTGGTACGTGTGTGTTCAACTCACAGTGTGTAACCTTTCTTTTCATAGAGCAGTTTGGAAACACTCAGTTTGTAAAGTCAGCAACTGGATATTTGGATGTATTTGAGGCCTTCGTTGGAAACGGGATTTCTTCATATAATGCTAGACAGAAGAATTCTCAGTAACTTCTTTGGGTTGTGGGTATTCAAGTCACAGAGTTGAAGCTTCCTTTAGGCGGAGCAGATTGGAAACACTTTTTGTGGAATTTTCAGGGGGAGACTTCAAGCGCTTTGAAGTGAATGGTAGGAAAGGAAATATCTTCGTATAAAAACTAGACGGAGTCATTCTCAGAAACTACTTTGTGATGTTTGCGTTCAACTCACAGAGTTTAACGTTTCTTTTCATAGAGCAGTTTGGAAACACTCTTTTTGCAGAATCTGCAAGTGGATATTTGGACCTCTTTGTGGCCTTCGTTGGAAACGGGATTTTTCATATAATGCTAGACAGAAGAATTCTCAGTAACTTCTTTTTGTGGTGTGTATTCAACTCACAGAGTTGAACCTTCCTTTAGACAGAGCAGATTTGAAACTCTCTTTTTGTGGAATTTGCAAGTGGAGATTTCAAGCGCTTTGAGGCCAACGGCAGAAAAGGAAATATCTTCGTAGAGAAAATAGACGGAATCATTCTCAGAAACTGCTTTGGGATGTGTGCATTGAACTCACAGTGTTTAACACTTCTTTTCATAGAGCACTTTGGAAACACTCAGTTTGTAATGTCTGCAGCTGGATATTTGGACCTCTTTGAGGCCTTCGTAGTAAACGGGATTTCTTCGTGTAATGATAGACAATAGAATTCTCAGTGAATTTTTTTCTGTGTGTGTGTATTCAACTCACAGGGTTGAACCTTCCTTTAGACAGTGCAGATTTGAAACACTTGTCTGTGGAATTTGCAAGGGGAGATTTCAAGCACTTTGAGGCCATTGGTGGAAAAGGAAATATCTTCGTATGAAAACTAGACAGAATCATTCTCAGGAACTACTTTGTGATATGTGCATTCAACTCCCAGAGTTTAACCTTTCTTTTCATAGATGAGTTTGGAAACAGTCAGTTTGTAAATTCTGCAACTGGATATTTGGACCTCTTTGAGGCTTTCGTTGGAAACGGGATTTCTTCACATAATGCTAGACAGAAGAATTCTCAGTAACTTCTTTTGGGATGTATGTATTCAAATCAGAGAGTTGAACCTTCCTTTAGACAGAGCGGATTGGAAACACTCTTTTTGTGGAATTTGCAAGTGGAAAATTCTAGCAGTATGAGGCCAATGGTACAAAAGGAAATATCTTCGTATAAAAACTAGACAGTATCATTCTCAGAAACTGCTTTGTGATGTGTGTATTAAACTCACAGAGTTGAACATTTCTTTGCATAGAGCAGTTTGGAAAGACTTAGTTTGTGCAGTGTGCAAGTGGATATTTGGAACTCTTTGAGACCTTCGTTGGAAACGGGATTTCTTCTTATAATTCTTGACAAAAGAATTCTCAGTAGCTTCTTTGTGTGTGTGTATTCAACTCACAGAGTTGAAGCTTCCTTTAGACAGAGCAGATTGGAAACACTCTTTTTGTGGAATTTGCAAGTGGAAAATTCTAGCAGTATGAGGCCAATGGTACAAAAGGAAATATCTTCGTATAAAAACTAGACAGTATCATTCTCAGAATCTGCTTTGTGATGTGTGTATTAAACTCACAGAGTTGAACATTTCTTTGCATAGAGCAGTTTGGAAAGACTTAGTTTGTGCAGTGTGCAAGTGGATATTTGGAACTCTTTGAGGCCTTCGTTGGAAACGGGATTTCTTCTTATAATTCTTGACAAAAGAATTCTCAGTAGCTTCTTTGTGTGTGTGTATTCAACTCACAGAGTTGAACCTTCCTTTAGACAGAGCAGATTGGAAACACTCTTTTTGTGGAATTTGCAAGTGGAGAATTCTAGCGCTTTGACGCCAATGGTAGAAAGGAAATATCTTCGTATAAAAACTAGACAGTATCATTCTCAGAAGCTACTTTGTGATGTGTGCGTTCAACTCACAGAGTTTAACCTTTCTTTTCATAGAGCAGTTTGGAAACCCTCTGTTTGTGAAGTCTGCAAGTGGATATTTAAACGTCTTTGAGGCCTTCGTTGGAAACGGGATTTCTTCATATAAACCAGGACAGAAGAATTCTCAGAAACTTCTTGATTGTTATGGGTGCATTCAACTCACAGAGTTGAACCTTACTTTGGAAAGAGCGGTTTTCTAACACTCTTTTTGTAAAAGTTCCAAGTGAATACTTTGAGTGCTTTGAAGCCTACGGTTGACAACGAAATATCTTCATGTAAAAACTACAAAGAATCATTCGCAGAAACCACGTTGTGATCTCTGCATTCAACTCACAGAGTTGAACCTTTCTTCCTATAGAGCAGTTATGAAACAGTCTCTTTGTAGAATTTGCAAGGGTGTATTTAGAGGGCATTGAAGCCTACGGTAGAAAAGGAAATATCTTACCATAAAATCTAGTCAGAAGCATTCTCAGCAACTGAGTTGTGATGTTTGCATTCAACTCACAGAGTTCAACATTCCTTTTAATGGAGCGGTTTTGAAACACTCTTTTTGCAGAATCTGCAAGTGGATATTTGGACCTCTTTGAGGCCTTCGTTGGAAACGGGATTTCTTCATGTAATGCCAGACAGAAGAATTCTCAGTGAATTCTTTCTGTGTGTGTGTATTCAACTCACAGAGTTGAACGTTCCTTTAGACAGAGTAGATTGGAAACACTCTTTTTGTGGAATTTTCAGGTGGAGGTATCAAGCGCTTTGAGGCCAATGATAGAAAAGGAAATACCTTCGTATAATAATTAGACGGAATCATTCTCAGAAACTGCTTTGCAATGTGTGCGTTCAACTCACAGTGTTTAACCTTTCTTTTCATACAGTTGTTTCGAAACACTCTTTTTGCAGAATCTGCAAGTGGATATTTGGACCTCTTTGAAGTCTTCGTTGGAAATGGGATTTCTTCATATAATGCTAGACAGAAGACTTCTCAGTAACTGCTTTTTCTGGTGTGTATTCAACTCTCAGAGTTGAACTTTCCTTTAGAAACAGCAGATTTGAAACTCTCTTTTTGTGGAATTTGCAAGTGGAGATTTCAGAGCTTTGAGGCCAATGGTAGAAAAGGAAATATCTTCGTATGCAAACTAGACAGAATCGTTCTCAGAAACTACTTTGGTACGTGTGTGTTCAACTCACAGTGTTTAACCTTTCCTTTCATAGAGCAGTTTGAAAACACTCAGTTTGTAAAGTCAGCAACTGGATATCTGGATGTATTTGAGGCCTTCGTTGGAAACGGGATTTCTTCATATAATGCTAGACAGAAGAATTCTCAGTAACTTCTTTGGGTTGTGGGTATTCAAGTCACAGAGTTGAAGCTTCCTTTAGGCGGAGCAGATTGGAAACACTTTTGTGGAATTTTCAGGGGGAGACTTCAAGCGCTTTGAAGTGAATGGTAGGAAAGGAAATATCTTCGTATAAAAACTAGACGGAGTCATTCTCAGAAACTACTTTGTGATGTTTGCGTTCAACTCACAGAGTTTAACGTTTCTTTTCATAGAGCAGTTTGGAAACACTCTTTTTGCAGAATCTGCAAGTGGATATTTGGACCTCTTTGTGGCCTTCGTTGGAAACGGGATTTTTCATATAATGCTAGACAGAAGAATTCTCAGTAACTTCTTTTTGTGGTGTGTATTCAACTCACAGAGTTGAACCTTCCTTTAGACAGAGCAGATTTGAAACTCTCTTTTTGTGGAATTTGCAAGTGGAGATTTCAAGCGCTTTGAGGCCAACGGCAGAAAAGGAAATATCTTCGTAGAAAAAATAGACGGAATCATTCTCAGAAACTGCTTTGGGATGTGTGCATTGAACTCACAGTGTTTAACACTTCTTTTCCTAGAGCACTTTGGAAACACTCAGGTTGTAATGTCTGCAGCTGGATATTTGGACCTCTTTGAGGCCTTCGTAGTAAACGGGATTTCTTCGTGTAATGATAGACAATAGAATTCTCAGTGAATTTTTTTCTGTGTGTGTGTATTCAACTCACAGGGTTGAACCTTCCTTTAGACAGTGCAGATTTGAGACACTTGTCTGTGGAATTTGCAAGGGGAGATTTCAAGCACTTTGAGGCCATTGGTGGAAAAGGAAATATCTTCGTATGAAAACTAGACAGAATCATTCTCAGGAACTACTTTGTGATATGTGCATTCAACTCCCAGAGTTTAACCTTTCTTTTCATAGATGAGTTTGGAAACAGTCAGTTTGTAAATTCTGCAACTGGATATTTGGACCTCTTTGAGGCTTTCGTTGGAAACGGGATTTCTTCACATAATGCTAGACAGAAGAATTCTCAGTAACTTCTTTTGGGATGTATGTATTCAAATCAGAGAGTTGAACCTTCCTTTAGACAGAGCGGATTGGAAACACTCTTTTTGTGGAATTTGCAAGTGGAAAATTCTAGCAGTATGAGGCCAATGGTACAAAAGGAAATATCTTCGTATAAAAACTAGACAGTATCATTCTCAGAAACTGCTTTGTGATGTGTGTATTAAACTCACAGAGTTGAACATTTCTTTGCATAGAGCAGTTTGGAAAGACTTAGTTTGTGCAGTGTGCAAGTGGATATTTGGAACTCTTTGAGGCCTTCGTTGGAAACGGGATTTCTTCTTATAATTTCTTGAAAAAAGAATTCTCAGTAGCTTCTTTGTGTGTGTGTATTCAACTCACAGAGTTGAACCTTCCTTTAGACAGAGCAGATTGGAAACACTCTTTTTGTGGAATTTGCAAGTGGAGAATTCTAGCGCTTTGACGCCAATGGTAGAAAGGAAATATCTTCGTATAAAAACTAGACAGTATCATTCTCAGAAGCTACTTTGTGATGTGTGCGTTCAACTCACAGAGTTTAACCTTTCTTTTCATAGAGCGGTTTGGAAACCCTCTGTTTGTGAAGTCTGCAAGTGGATATTTAAACGTCTTTGAGGCCTTCGTTGGAAACGGGATTTTTTCATATAAACCAGGACAGAAGAATTCTCAGAAACTTCTTGATTGTTATGTGTGCATTCAACTCACAGAGTTGAACCTTACTTTGGAAAGAGCAGTTTTCTAATACTCTTTTTGTAAAAGTTCCAAGTGAATACTTTGAGTGCTTTGAAGCCTACGGTTGACAACGAAATATCTTCATGTAAAAACTACAAAGAATCATTCGCAGAAACCACGTTGTGATCTCTGCATTCAACTCACAGAGTTCAACCTTTCTTCCTATAGAGCAGTTATGAAACAGTCTCTTTGTAGAATTTGCAAGGGTGTATTTAGAGGGCATTGAAGCCTACGGCAGAAAAGGAAATATCTTACCATAAAATCTAGTCAGAAGCATTCTCAGCAACTGAGTTGTGATGTTTGCATTCAACTCACAGAGTTCAACATTCCTTTTAATGGAGCGGTTTTGAAACACTCTTTTTGCAGAATCTGCAAGTGGATATTTGGACCTCTTTGAGGTCTTCGTTGGAAACGGGATTTCTTCATGTAATGCCAGACAGAAGAATTCTCAGTGAATTCTTTCTGTGTGTGTGTATTCAACTCACAGAGTTGAACGTTCCTTTAGACAGAGTAGATTGGAAACACGCTTTTTGTGGAATTTTCAGGTGGAGGTATCAAGCGCTTTGAGGCCAATGATAGAAAAGGAAATACCTTCGTATAATAATTAGACGGAAATCATTCTCAGAAACCGCTTTGCAATGTGTGCGTTCAACTCACAGTGTTTAACCTTTCTTTTCATACAGTTGTTTCGAAACACTCTTTTTGCAGAATCTGCAAGTGGATATTTGGACCTCTTTGAAGTCTTCGTTGGAAATGGGATTTCTTCATATAATGCTAGACAGAAGACTTCTCAGTAACTGCTTTTTCTGGTGTGTATTCAACTCTCAGAGTTGAACTTTCCTTTAGAAACAGCAGATTTGAAACTCTCTTTTTGTGGAATTTGCAAGTGGAGATTTCAGAGCTTTGAGGCCAATGGTAGAAAAGGAAATATCTTCGTATGCAAACTAGACAGAATCATTCTCAGAAACTACTTTGGTACGTGTGTGTTCAACTCACAGTGTTTAACCTTTCTTTTCATAGAGCAGTTTGGAAACACTCAGTTTGTAAAGTCAGCAACTGGATATTTGGATGTATTTGAGGCCTTCGTTGGAAACGGGATTTCTTCATATAGTGCTAGACAGAAGAATTCTCAGTAACTTCTTTGGGTTGTGGGTATTCAAGTCACAGAGTTGAAGCTTCCTTTAGGCGGAGCAGATTGGAAACACTTTTTGTGGAATTTTCAGGGGGAGACTTCAAGCGCTTTGAAGTGAATGGTAGGAAAGGAAATATCTTCGTATAAAAACTAGACGGAGTCATTCTCAGAAACTACTTTGTGATGTTTGCGTTCAACTCACAGAGTTTAACGTTTCTTTTCATAGAGCAGTTTGGAAACACTCTTTTTGCAGAATCTGCAAGTGGATATTTGGACCTCTTTGTGGCCTTCGTTGGAAACGGGATTTTTCATATAATGCTAGACAGAAGAATTCTCAGTAACTTCTTTTTGTGGTGTGTATTCAACTCACAGAGTTGAACCTTCCTTTAGACAGAGCAGATTTGAAACTCTCTTTTTGTGGAATTTGCAAGTGGAGATTTCAAGCGCTTTGAGGCCAACGGCAGAAAAGGAAATATCTTCGTAGAAAAAATAGACGGAATCATTCTCAGAAACTGCTTTGGGATGTGTGCATTGAACTCACAGTGTTTAACACTTCTTTTCATAGAGCACTTTGGAAACACTCAGTTTGTAATGTCTGCAGCTGGATATTTGGACCTCTTTGAGGCCTTCGTAGTAAACGGGATTTCTTCGTGTAATGATAGACAATAGAATTCTCAGTGAATTTGTTTCTGTGTGTGTGTATTCAACTCACAGGGTTGAACCTTCCTTTAGACAGTGCAGATTTGAAACACTTGTCTGTGGAATTTGCAAGGGGAGATTTCAAGCACTTTGAGGCCATTGGTGGAAAAGGAAATATCTTCGTATAAAAACTAGACAGAATCATTCTCAGGAACTACTTTGTGATATGTGCATTCAACTCACAGAGTTTAACTTTTCTTTTCATAGATGAGTTTGGAAACAGTCAGTTTGTAAATTCTGCAACTGGATATTTGGACCTCTTTGAGGCTTTCGTTGGAAACGGGATTTCTTCACATAATGCTAGACAGAAGAATTCTCAGTAACTTCTTTTGGGATGTATGTATTCAAATCAGAGAGTTGAACCTTCCTTTAGACAGAGCGGATTGGAAACACTCTTTTTGTGGAATTTGCAAGTGGAAAATTCTAGCAGTATGAGGCCAATGGTACAAAAGGAAATATGTTCGTATAAAAACTAGACAGTATCATTCTCAGAAACTGCTTTGTGATATGTGTATTAAACTCACAGAGTTGAACATTTCTTTGCATAGAGCAGTTTGGAAAGACTTAGTTTGTGCAGTGTGCAAGTGGATATTTGGAACTCTTTGAGGCCTTCGTTGGAAACGGGATTTCTTCTTATAATTCTTGACAAAAGAATTCTCAGTAGCTTCTTTGTGTGTGTGTATTCAACTCACAGAGTTGAACCTTCCTTTAGAGCAGATTGGAAACACTCTTTTTGTGGAATTTGCAAGTGGAGAATTCTAGCGCTTTGACGCCAATGGTAGAAAGGAAATATCTTCGTATAAAAACTAGACAGTATCATTCTCAGAAACTACTTTGTGATGTGTGCGTTCAACTCACAGAGTTTAACCTTTCTTTTCATAGAGCAGTTTGGAAACACTCTGTTTGTGAAGTCTGCAAGTGGATATTTAAACGTCTTTGAGGCCTTCGTTGGAAACGGGATTTGTTCATATAAACCAGGACAGAAGAATTCTCAGAAACTTCTTGATTGTTATGTGTGCATTCAACTCACAGAGTTGAACCTTACTTTGGAAAGAGCAGTTTTCTAACACTCTTTTTGTAAAAGTTCCAAGTGAATACTTTGAGTGCTTTGAAGCCTACGGTTGACAACGAAATATCTTCATGTAAAACTACAAAGAATCATTCGCCGAAACCACGTTGTGATCTCTGCATTCAACCCACAGAGTTCAACCTTTCTTCCTATAGAGCAGTTATTAAACAGTCTCTTTGTAGAATTTGCAAGGGTGTATTTAGAGGGCATTGAAGCCTACGGTAGAAAAGGAAATATCTGACCATAAAATCTAGTCAGAAGCATTCTCAGCAACTGAGTTGTGATGTTTCCATTCAACTCACAGAGTTCAACATTCCTTTTAATGGAGCGGTTTTGAAACACTCTTTTTGCAGAATCTGCAAGTGGATATTTGGACCTCTTTGAGGCCTTCGTTGGAAACGGGATTTCTTCATGTAATGCCAGACAGAAGAATTCTCAGTGAATTCTTTCTGTGTGTGTGTATTCAACTCACAGAGTTGAACGTTCCTTTAGACAGAGTAGATTGGAAACACTCTTTTTGTGGAATTTTCAGGTGGAGGTATCAAGCGCTTTGAGGCCAATGATAGAAAAGGAAATACCTTCGTATAATAATTAGACGGAATCATTCTCAGAAACTGCTTTGCAATGTGTGCGTTCAACTCACAGTGTTTAACCTTTCTTTTCATACAGTTGTTTCGAAACACTCTTTTTGCAGAATCTGCAAGTGGATATTTGGACCTCTTTGAAGTCTTCGTTGGAAATGGGATTTCTTCATATAATGCTAGACAGAAGACTTCTCAGTAACTGCTTTTTCTGGTGTGTATTCAACTCTCAGAGTTGAACTTTCCTTTAGAAACAGCAGATTTGAAACTCTCTTTTTGTGGAATTTGCAAGTGGAGATTTCAGAGCTTTGAGGCCAATGGTAGAAAAGGAAATATCTTCGTATGCAAACTAGACAGAATCATTCTCAGAAACTACTTTGGTACGTGTGTGTTCAACTCACAGTGTTTAACCTTTCTTTTCATAGAGCAGTTTGGAAACACTCAGTTTGTAAAGTCAGCAACTGGATATTTGGATGTATTTGAGGCCTTCGTTGGAAACGGGATTTCTTCATATAATGCTAGACAGAAGAATTCTCAGTAACTTCTTTGGGTTGTGGGTATTCAAGTCACAGAGTTGAAGCTTCCTTTAGGCGGAGCAGATTGGAAACACTTTTTGTGGAATTTTCAGGGGGAGACTTCAAGCGCTTTGAAGTGAATGGTAGGAAAGGAAATATCTTCGTATAAAAACTAGACGGAGTCATTCTCAGAAACTACTTTGTGATGTTTGCGTTCAACTCACAGAGTTTAACGTTTCTTTTCATAGAGCAGTTTGGAAACACTCTTTTTGCAGAATCTGCAAGTGGATATTTGGACCTCTTTGTGGCCTTCGTTGGAAACGGGATTTTTCATATAATGCTAGACAGAAGAATTCTCAGTAACTTCTTTTTGTGGTGTGTATTCAACTCACAGAGTTGAACCTTCCTTTAGACAGAGCAGATTTGAAACTCTCTTTTTGTGGAATTTGCAAGTGGAGATTTCAAGCGCTTTGAGGCCAACGGCAGAAAAGGAAATATCTTCGTAGAAAAAATAGACGGAATCATTCTCAGAAACTGCTTTGGGATGTGTGCATTGAACTCACAGTGTTTAACACTTCTTTTCATAGAGCACTTTGGAAACACTCAGTTTGTAATGTCTGCAGCTGGATATTTGGACCTCTTTGAGGCCTTCGTAGTAAACGGGATTTCTTCGTGTAATGATAGACAATAGAATTCTCAGTGAATTTCTTTCTGTGTGTGTGTATTCAACTCACAGGGTTGAACCTTCCTTTAGACAGTGCAGATTTGAAACACTTGTCTGTGGAATTTGCAAGGGGAGATTTCAAGCACTTTGAGGCCATTGGTGGAAAAGGAAATATCTTCGTATAAAAACTAGACAGAATCATTCTCAGGAACTACTTTGTGATATGTGCATTCAACTCCCAGAGTTTAACCTTTCTTTTCATAGATGAGTTTGGAAACAGTCAGTTTGTAAATTCTGCAACTGGATATTTGGACCTCTTTGAGGCTTTCGTTGGAAACGGGATTTCTTCACATAATGCTAGACAGAAGAATTCTCAGTAACTTCTTTTGGGATGTATGTATTCAAATCAGAGAGTTGAACCTTCCTTTAGACAGAGCGGATTGGAAACACTCTTTTTGTGGAATTTGCAAGTGGAAAATTCTAGCAGTATGAGGCCAATGGTACAAAAGGAAATATCTTCGTATAAAAACTAGACAGTACCATTCTCAGAAACTGCTTTGTGATGTGTGTATTAAACTCACAGAGTTGAACATTTCTTTGCATAGAGCAGTTTGGAAAGACTTAGTTTGTGCAGTGTGCAAGTGGATATTTGGAACTCTTTGAGGCCTTCGTTGGAAACGGGATTTCTTCTTATAATTTCTTGAAAAAAGAATTCTCAGTAGCTTCTTTGTGTGTGTGTATTCAACTCACAGAGTTGAACCTTCCTTTACACAGAGCAGATTGGAAACACTCTTTTTGTGGAATTTGCAAGTGGAGAATTCTAGCGCTTTGACGCCAATGGTAGAAAGGAAATATCTTCGTATAAAAACTAGACAGTATCATTCTCAGAAGCTACTTTGTGATGTGTGCGTTCAACTCACAGAGTTTAACCTTTCTTTTCATAGAGCAGTTTGGAAACCCTCTGTTTGTGAAGTCTGCAAGTGGATATTTAAACGTCTTTGAGGCCTTCGTTGGAAACGGGATTTTTTCATATAAACCAGGACAGAAGAATTCTCAGAAACTTCTTGATTGTTATGTGTGCATTCAACTCACAGAGTTGAACCTTACTTTGGAAAGAGCAGTTTTCTAACACTCTTTTTGTAAAAGTTCCAAGTGAATACTTTGAGTGCTTTGAAGCCTACGGTTGACAACGAAATATCTTCCTGTAAAAACTACAAAGAATCATTCGCAGAAACCACGTTGTGATCTCTGCATTCAACTCACAGAGTTGAACCTTTCTTCCTATAGAGCAGTTGTGAAACAGTCTCTTTGTAGAATTTGCAAGGGTGTATTTAGAGGGCATTGAAGCCTACGGTAGAAAAGGAAATATCTTACCATAAAATCTAGTCAGAAGCATTCTCAGCAACTGAGTTGTGATGTTTCCATTCAACTCACAGAGTTCAACATTCCTTTTAATGGAGCGGTTTTGAAACACTCTTTTTGCAGAATCTGCAAGTGGATATTTGGACCTCTTTGAGGCCTTCGTTGGAAACGGGATTTCTTCATGTAATGCCAGACAGAAGAATTCTCAGTGAATTCTTTCTGTGTGTGTGTATTCAACTCACAGAGTTGAACGTTCCTTTAGACAGAGTAGATTGGAAACACTCTTTTTGTGGAATTTTCAGGTGGAGGTATCAAGCGCTTTGAGGCCAATGATAGAAAAGGAAATACCTTCGTATAATAATTAGACGGAATCATTCTCAGAAACTGCTTTGCAATGTGTGCGTTCAACTCACAGTGTTTAACCTTTCTTTTCATACAGTTGTTTCGAAACACTCTTTTTGCAGAATCTGCAAGTGGATATTTGGACCTCTTTGAAGTCTTCGTTGGAAATGGGATTTCTTCATATAATGCTAGACAGAAGACTTCTCAGTAACTGCTTTTTCTGGTGTGTATTCAACTCTCAGAGTTGAACTTTCCTTTAGAAACAGCAGATTTGAAACTCTCTTTTTGTGGAATTTGCAAGTGGAGATTTCAGAGCTTTGAGGCCAATGGTAGAAAAGGAAATATCTTCGTATGCAAACTAGACAGAATCATTCTCAGAAACTACTTTGGTACGTGTGTGTTCAACTCACAGTGTTTAACCTTTCTTTTCATAGAGCAGTTTGGAAACACTCAGTTTGTAAAGTCAGCAACTGGATATTTGGATGTATTTGAGGCCTTCGTTGGAAACGGGATTTCTTCATATAGTGCTAGACAGAAGAATTCTCAGTAACTTCTTTGGGTTGTGGGTATTCAAGTCACAGAGTTGAAGCTTCCTTTAGGCGGAGCAGATTGGAAACACTTTTTGTGGAATTTTCAGGGGGAGACTTCAAGCGCTTTGAAGTGAATGGTAGGAAAGGAAATATCTTCGTATAAAAACTAGACGGAGTCATTCTCAGAAACTACTTTGTGATGTTTGCGTTCAACTCACAGAGTTTAACGTTTCTTTTCATAGAGCAGTTTGGAAACACTCTTTTTGCAGAATCTGCAAGTGGATATTTGGACCTCTTTGTGGCCTTCGTTGGAAACGGGATTTTTCATATAATGCTAGACAGAAGAATTCTCAGTAACTTCTTTTTGTGGTGTGTATTCAACTCACAGAGTTGAACCTTCCTTTAGACAGAGCAGATTTGAAACTCTCTTTTTGTGGAATTTGCAAGTGGAGATTTCAAGCGCTTTGAGGCCAACGGCAGAAAAGGAAATATCTTCGTAGAAAAAATAGACGGAATCATTCTCAGAAACTGCTTTGGGATGTGTGCATTGAACTCACAGTGTTTAACACTTCTTTTCATAGAGCAATTTGGAAACACTCAGTTTGTAATGTCTGCAGCTGGATATTTGGACCTCTTTGAGGCCTTCGTAGTAAACGGGATTTCTTCGTGTAATGATAGACAATAGAATTCTCAGTGAATTTTTTTCTGTGTGTGTGTATTCAACTCACAGGGTTGAACCTTCCTTTAGACAGTGCAGATTTGAAACACTTGTCTGTGGAATTTGCAAGGGGAGATTTCAAGCACTTTGAGGCCATTGGTGGAAAAGGAAATATCTTCGTATAAAAACTAGACAGAATCATTCTCAGGAACTACTTTGTGATATGTGCATTCAACTCCCAGAGTTTAACCTTTCTTTTCATAGATGAGTTTGGAAACAGTCAGTTTGTAAATTCTGCCACTGGATATTTGGACCTCTTTGAGGCTTTCGTTGGAAACGGGATTTCTTCACATAATGCTAGACAGAAGAATTCTCAGTAACTTCTTTTGGGATGTATGTATTCAAATCAGAGAGTTGAACCTTCCTTTAGACAGAGCGGATTGGAAACACTCTTTTTGTGGAATTTGCAAGTGGAAAATTCTAGCAGTATGAGGCCAATGGTACAAAAGGAAATATCTTCGTATAAAAACTAGACAGTAATCATTCTCAGAAACTGCTTTGTGATGTGTGTATTAAACTCACAGAGTTGAACATTTCTTTGCATAGAGCAGTTTGGAAAAACTTAGTTTGTACAGTGTGCAAGTGGATATTTGGAACTCTTTGAGGCCTTCGTTGGAAACGGGATTTCGTCTTATAATTCTTGACAAAAGAATTCTCAGTAGCTTCTTTGTGTGTGTGTATTCAACTCACAGAGTTGAACCTTCCTTTAGACAGAGCAGATTGGAAACACACTTTTTGTGGAATTTGCAAGTGGAGAATTCTAGCGCTTTGACGCCAATGGTAGAAAGGAAATATCTTCGTATAAAAACTAGACAGTATCATTCTCAGAAACTACTTTGTGATGTGTGCGTTCAACTCACAGAGTTTAACCTTTCTTTTCATAGAGCAGTTTGGAAACACTCTGTTTGTGAAGTCTGCATGTGGATATTTAAACGTCTTTGAGGCCTTCGTTGGAAACGGGATTTTTTCATATAAACCAGGACAGAAGAATTCTCAGAAACTTCTTGATTGTTATGGGTGCATTCAACTCACAGAGTTGAACCTTACTTTGGAAAGAGCAGTTTTCTAACACTCTTTTTGTAAAAGTTCCAAGTGAATACTTTGAGTGCTTTGAAGCCTACGGTTGACAACGAAATATCTTCATGTAAAAACTACAAAGAATCATTCGCAGAAACCACGTTGTGATCTCTGCATTCAACTCACAGAGTTGAACCTTTCTTCCTATAGAGCAGTTATGAAACAGTCTCTTTGTAGAATTTGCAAGGGTGTATTTAGAGGGCATTGAAGCCTACGGTAGAAAAGGAAATATCTTACCATAAAATCTAGTCAGAAGCATTCTCAGCAACTGAGTTGTGATGTTTGCATTCAACTCACAGAGTTCAACATTCCTTTTAATGGAGCGGTTTTGAAACACTCTTTTTGCAGAATCTGCAAGTGGATATTTGGACCTCTTTGAGGCCTTCGTTGGAAACGGGATTTCTTCATGTAATGCCAGACAGAAGAATTCTCAGTGAATTCTTTCTGTGTGTGTGTATTCAACTCACAGAGTTGAACGTTCCTTTAGACAGAGTAGATTGGAAACACTCTTTTTGTGGAATTTTCAGGTGGAGGTATCAAGCGCTTTGAGGCCAATGATAGAAAAGGAAATACCTTCGTATAATAATTAGACGGAATCATTCTCAGAAACCGCTTTGCAATGTGTGCGTTCAACTCACAGTGTTTAACCTTTCTTTTCATACAGTTGTTTCGAAACACTCTTTTTGCAGAATCTGCAAGTGGATATTTGGACCTCTTTGAAGTCTTCGTTGGAAATGGGATTTCTTCATATAATGCTAGACAGAAGACTTCTCAGTAACTGCTTTTTCTGGTGTGTATTCAACTCTCAGAGTTGAACTTTCCTTTAGAAACAGCAGATTTGAAACTCTCTTTTTGTGGAATTTGCAAGTGGAGATTTCAGAGCTTTGAGGCCAATGGTAGAAAAGGAAATATCTTCGTATGCAAACTAGACAGAATCATTCTCAGAAACTACTTTGGTACGTGTGTGTTCAACTCACAGTGTTTAACCTTTCTTTTCATAGAGCAGTTTGGAAACACTCAGTTTGTAAAGTCAGCAACTGGATATTTGGATGTATTTGAGGCCTTCGTTGGAAACGGGATTTCTTCATATAATGCTAGACAGAAGAATTCTCAGTAACTTCTTTGGGTTGCGGGTATTCAACTCACAGAGTTAAAGCTTCCTTTAGGCGGAGCAGATTGGAAACACTTTTTGTGGAATTTTCAGGGGGAGACTTCAAGCGTTTTGAAGTGAATGGTAGGAAAGGAAATATCTTCGTATAAAAACTAGACGGAGTCATTCTCAGAAACTACTTTGTGATGTTTGCGTTCAACTCACAGAGTTTAACGTTTCTTTTCATAGAGCAGTTTGGAAACACTCTTTTTGCAGAATCTGCAAGTGGATATTTGGACCTCTTTGTGGCCTTCGTTGGAAACGGGATTTTTCATATAATGCTAGACAGAAGAATTCTCAGTAACTTCTTTTTGTGGTGTGTATTCAACTCACAGAGTTGAACCTTCCTTTAGACAGAGCAGATTTGAAACTCTCTTTTTGTGGAATTTGCAAGTGGAGATTTCAAGCGCTTTGAGGCCAACGGTAGAAAAGGAAATATCTTCGTAGAAAAAATAGACGGAATCATTCTCAGAAACTGCTTTGGGATGTGTGCATTGAACTCACAGTGTTTAACACTTCTTTTCATAGAGCACTTTGGAAACACTCAGTTTGTAATGTCTGCAGCTGGATATTTGGACCTCTTTGAGGCCTTCGTAGTAAACGGGATTTCTTCGTGTAATGATAGACAATAGAATTCTCAGTGAATTTTTTTCTGTGTGTGTGTATTCAACTCACAGGGTTGAACCTTCCTTTAGACAGTGCAGATTTGAAACACTTGTCTGTGGAATTTGCAAGGGGAGATTTCAAGCACTTTGAGGCCATTGGTGGAAAAGGAAATATCTTCGTATAAAAACTAGACAGAATCATTCTCAGGAACTACTTTGTGATATGTGCATTCAACTCCCAGAGTTTAACCTTTCTTTTCATAGATGAGTTTGGAAACAGTCAGTTTGTAAATTCTGCAACTGGATATTTGGACCTCTTTGAGGCTTTCGTTGGAAACGGGATTTCTTCACATAATGCTAGACAGAAGAATTCTCAGTAACTTCTTTTGGGATGTATGTATTCAAATCAGAGAGTTGAACCTTCCTTTAGACAGAGCGGATTGGAAACACTCTTTTTGTGGAATTTGCAAGTGGAAAATTCTAGCAGTATGAGGCCAATGGTACAAAAGGAAATATCTTCGTATAAAAACTAGACAGTATCATTCTCAGAAACTGCTTTGTGATGTGTGTATTAAACTCACAGAGTTGAACATTTCTTTGCATAGAGCAGTTTGGAAAGACTTAGTTTGTGCAGTGTGCAAGTGGATATTTGGAACTCTTTGAGGCCTTCGTTGGAAACGGGATTTCTTCTTATAATTCTTGACAAAAGAATTCTCAGTAGCTTCTTTGTGTGTGTGTATTCAACTCACAGAGTTGAACCTTCCTTTAGACAGAGCAGATTGGAAACACTCTTTTTGTGGAATTTGCAAGTGGAGAATTCTAGCGCTTTGACGCCAATGGTAGAAAGGAAATATCTTCGTATAAAAACTAGACAGAATCATTCTCAGAAACTACTTTGTGATGTGTGCGTTCAACTCACAGAGTTTAACCTTTCTTTTCATAGAGCAGTTTGGAAACACTCTGTTTGTGAAGTCTGCAAGTGGATATTTAAACGTCTTTGAGGCCTTCGTTGGAAACGGGATTTATTCATATAAACCAGGACAGAAGAATTCTCAGAAACTTCTTGTTTGTTATGTGTGCATTCAACTCACAGAGTTGAACCTTACTTTGGAAAGAGCAGTTTTCTAACACTCTTTTTGTAAAAGTTCCAAGTGAATACTTTGAGTGCTTTGAAGCCTACGGTAGACAACGAAATATCTTCATGTAAAAACTACAAAGAATCATTCGCAGAAACCACGTTGTGATCTCTGCATTCAACTCACAGAGTTGAACCTTTCCTCCTATAGAGCAGTTATGAAGCAGTCTCTTTGTAGAATTTGCAAGGGTGTATTTACAGGGCATTGAAGCCTACGGTAGAAAAGGAAATATCTTACCATAAAATCTAGTCAGAAGCATTCTCAGAAACTGAGTTGTGATGTTTGCATTCAACTCACAGAGTTCAACATTCCTTTTAATGGAGCGGTTTTGAAACACTCTTTTTGCAGAATCTGCAAGTGGATATTTGGACCTCTTTGAGGCCTTCGTTGGAAACGGGATTTCTTCATGTAATGCCAGACAGAAGAATTCTCAGTGAATTCTTTCTGTGTGTGTGTATTCAACTCACGGAGTTGAACGTTCCTTTAGACAGAGTAGATTGGAAACACTCTTTTTGTGGAATTTTCAGGTGGAGGTATCAAGCGCTTTGAGGCCAATGATAGAAAAGGAAATACCTTCGTATAATAATTAGACGGAATCATTCTCAGAAACTGCTCTGCAATGTGTGCGTTCAACTCACAGTGTTTAACCTTTCTTTTCATACAGTTGTTTCGAAACACTCTTTTTGCAGAATCTGCAAGTGGATATTTGGACCTCTTTGAAGTCTTCGTTGGAAATGGGATTTCTTCATATAATGCTAGACAGAAGACTTCTCAGTAACTGCTTTTTCTGGTGTGTATTCAACTCTCAGAGTTGAACTTTCCTTTAGAAACAGCAGAGTTGAAACTCTCTTTTTGTGGAATTTGCAAGTGGAGATTTCAAAGCTTTGAGGCCAATGGTAGAAAAGGAAATATCCTTCGTATGCAAACTAGACAGAATCATTCTCAGAAACTACTTTGGTACGTGTGTGTTCAACTCACAGTGTTTAACCTTTCCTTTCATAGAGTAGTTTGGAAACACTCAGTTTGTAAAGTCAGCAACTGGATATCTGGATGTATTTGAGGACTTCGTTGGAAACGGGATTTCTTCATGTAATGCTAGACAGAAGAATTCTCAGTAACTTCTTTGGGTTGTGGGTATTCAAGTCACAGAGTTGAAGCTTCCTTTAGGCGGAGCAGATTGGAAACACTTTTTGTGGAATTTTCAGGGGGAGACTTCAAGCGCTTTGAAGTGAATGGTAGGAAAGGAAATATCTTCGTATAAAAACTAGACGGAGTCATTCTCAGAAACTACTTTGTGATGTTTGCGTTCAACTCACAGAGTTTAACGTTTCTTTTCATAGAGCAGTTTGGAAACACTCTTTTTGCAGAATCTGCAAGTGGATATTTGGACCTCTTTGTGGCCTTCGTTGGAAACGGGATTTTTCATATAATGCTAGACAGAAGAATTCTCAGTAACTTCTTTTTGTGGTGTGTATTCAACTCACAGAGTTGAACCTTCCTTTAGACAGAGCAGATTTGAAACTCTCTTTTTGTGGAATTTGCAAGTGGAGATTTCAAGCGCTTTGAGGCCAACGGCAGAAAAGGAAATATCTTCGTAGAAAAAATAGACGGAATCATTCTCAGAAACTGCTTTGGGATGTGTGCATTGAACTCACAGTGTTTAACACTTCTTTTCATAGAGCACTTTGGAAACACTCAGTTTGTAATGTCTGCAGCTGGATATTTGGACCTCTTTGAGGCCTTCGTAGTAAACGGGATTTCTTCGTGTAATGATAGACAATAGAATTCTCAGTGAATTTTTTTCTGTGTGTGTGTATTCAACTCACAGGGTTGAACCTTCCTTTAGACAGTGCAGATTTGAAACACTTGTCTGTGGAATTTGCAAGGGGAGATTTCAAGCACTTTGAGGCCATTGGTGGAAAAGGAAATATCTTCGTATAAAAACTAGACAGAATCATTCTCAGGAACTACTTTGTGATATGTGCATTCAACTCCCAGAGTTTAACCTTTCTTTTCATAGATGAGTTTGGAAACAGTCAGTTTGTAAATTCTGCAACTGGATATTTGGACCTCTTTGAGGCTTTCGTTGGAAACGGGATTTCTTCACATAATGCTAGACAGAAGAATTCTCAGTAACTTCTTTTGGGATGTATGTATTCAAATCAGAGAGTTGAACCTTCCTTTAGACAGAGCGGATTGGAAACACTCTTTTTGTGGAATTTGCAAGTGGAAAATTCTAGCAGTATGAGGCCAATGGTACAAAAGGAAATATCTTCGTATAAAAACTAGACAGTATCATTCTCAGAAACTGCTTTGTGATGTGTGTATTAAACTCACAGAGTTGAACATTTCTTTGCATAGAGCAGTTTGGAAAGACTTAGTTTGTGCAGTGTGCAAGTGGATATTTGGAACTCTTTGAGGCCTTCGTTGGAAACGGGATTTCTTCTTATAATTTCTTGAAAAAAGAATTCTCAGTAGCTTCTTTGTGTGTGTGTATTCAACTCACAGAGTTGAACCTTCCTTTAGACAGAGCAGATTGGAAACACTCTTTTTGTGGAATTTGCAAGTGGAGAATTCTAGCGCTTTGACGCCAATGGTAGAAAGGAAATATCTTCGTATAAAAACTAGACAGTATCATTCTCAGAAGCTACTTTGTGATGTGTGCGTTCAACTCACAGAGTTTAACCTTTCTTTTCATAGAGCAGTTTGGAAACCCTCTGTTTGTGAAGTCTGCAAGTGGATATTTAAACGTCTTTGAGGCCTTCGTTGGAAACGGGATTTTTTCATATAAACCAGGACAGAAGAATTCTCAGAAACTTCTTGATTGTTATGTGTGCATTCAACTCACAGAGTTGAACCTTACTTTGGAAAGAGCAGTTTTCTAATACTCTTTTTGTAAAAGTTCCAAGTGAATACTTTGAGTGCTTTGAAGCCTACGGTTGACAACGAAATATCTTCATGTAAAAACTACAAAGAATCATTCGCAGAAACCACGTTGTGATCTCTGCATTCAACTCACAGAGTTCAACCTTTCTTCCTATAGAGCAGTTATGAAACAGTCTCTTTGTAGAATTTGCAAGGGTGTATTTAGAGGGCATTGAAGCCTACGGTAGAAAAGGAAATATCTTACCATAAAATCTAGTCAGAAGCATTCTCAGCAACTGAGTTGTGATGTTTGCATTCAACTCACAGAGTTCAACATTCCTTTTAATGGAGCGGTTTTGAAACACTCTTTTTGCAGAATCTGCAAGTGGATATTTGGACCTCTTTGAGGTCTTCGTTGGAAACGGGATTTCTTCATGTAATGCCAGACAGAAGAATTCTCAGTGAATTCTTTCTGTGTGTGTGTATTCAACTCACAGAGTTGAACGTTCCTTTAGACAGAGTAGATTGGAAACACTCTTTTTGTGGAATTTTCAGGTGGAGGTATCAAGCGCTTTGAGGCCAATGATAGAAAAGGAAATACCTTCGTATAATAATTAGACGGAATCATTCTCAGAAACTGCTTTGCAATGTGTGCGTTCAACTCACAGTGTTTAACCTTTCTTTTCATACAGTTGTTTCGAAACACTCTTTTTGCAGAATCTGCAAGTGGATATTTGGACCTCTTTGAAGTCTTCGTTGGAAATGGGATTTCTTCATACAATGCTAGACAGAACACTTCTCAGTAACTGCTTTTTCTGGTGTGTATTCAACTCTCAGAGTTGAACTTTCCTTTAGAAACAGCAGATTTGAAACTCTCTTTTTGTGGAATTTGCAAGTGGAGATTTCAGAGCTTTGAGGCCACTGGTAGAAAAGGAAATATCTTCGTATGCAAACTAGACAGAATCATTCTCAGAAACTACTTTGGTACGTGTGTGTTCAACTCACAGTGTTTAACCTTTCTTTTCATAGAGCAGTTTGGAAACACTCAGTTTGTAAAGTCAGCAACTGGATATTTGGATGTATTTGAGGCCTTCGTTGGAAACGGGATTTCTTCATATAATGCTAGACAGAAGAATTCTCAGTAACTTCTTTGGGTTGTGGGTATTCAAGTCACAGAGTTGAAGCTTCCTTTAGGCGGAGCAGATTGGAAACACTTTTTGTGGAATTTTCAGGGGGAGACTTCAAGCGCTTTGAAGTGAATGGTAGGAAAGGAAATATCTTCGTATAAAAACTAGACGGAGTCATTCTCAGAAACTACTTTGTGATGTTTGCGTTCAACTCACAGAGTTTAACGTTTCTTTTCATAGAGCAGTTTGGAAACACTCTTTTTGCAGAATCTGCAAGTGGATATTTGGACCTCTTTGTGGCCTTCGTTGGAAACGGGATTTTTCATATAATGCTAGACAGAAGAATTCTCAGTAACTTCTTTTTGTGGTGTGTATTCAACTCACAGAGTTGAACCTTCCTTTAGACAGAGCAGATTTGAAACTCTCTTTTTGTGGAATTTGCAAGTGGAGATTTCAAGCGCTTTGAGGCCAACGGCAGAAAAGGAAATATCTTCGTAGAAAAAATAGACGGAATCATTCTCAGAAACTGATTTGGGATGTGTGCATTGAACTCACAGTGTTTAACACTTCTTTTCATAGAGCACTTTGGAAACACTCAGTTTGTAATGTCTGCAGCTGGATATGTGGACCTCTTTGAGGCCTTCGTAGTAAACGGGATTTCTTCGTGTAATGATAGACAATAGAATTCTCAGTGAATTTTTTTCTGTGTGTGTGCATTCAACTCACAGAGTTGAACCTTCCTTCAGACAGTGCAGATTTGAAACACTTTTCTGTGGAATTTGTAAGGGGAGATTTCAAGCACTTTGAGGCCATTGGTGGAAAAGGGAATATCTTCGTATAAAAACTAGACAGAATCATTCTCAGGAACTACTTTGTGATATGTGCATTCAACTCACAGAGTTTAACCTTTCTTTTCATAGATGAGTTTGGAAACAGTCAGTTTGTAAATTCTGCAACTGGATATTTGGACCTCTTTGAGGCTTTCGTTGGAAACGGGATTTCTTCACATAATGCTAGACAGAAGAATTCTCAGTAACTTCTTTTGGGATGTATGTATTCAAATCAGAGAGTTGAACCTTCCTTTAGACAGAGCGGATTGGAAACACTCTTTTTGTGGAATTTGCAAGTGGAAAATTCTAGCAGTATGAGGCCAATGGTACAAAAGGAAATATCTTCGTATAAAAACTAGACAGTATCATTCTCAGAAACTGCTTTGTGATGTGTGTATTAAACTCACAGAGTTGAACATTTCTTTGCATAGAGCAGTTTGGAAAGACTTAGCTTGTGCAGTGTGCAAGTGGATATTTGGAACTCTTTGAGGCCTTCGTTGGAAACGGGATTTCTTCTTATAATTCTTGACAAAAGAATTCTCAGTAGCTTCTTTGTGTGTGTGTATTCAACTCACAGAGTTGAACCTTCCTTTAGACAGAGCAGATTGGAAACACTCTTTTTGTGGAATTTGCAAGTGGAGAATTCTAGCGCTTTGACGCCAATGGTAGAAAGGAAATATCTTCGTATAAAAACTAGACAGTATCATTCTCAGAAGCTACTTTGTGATGTGTGCGTTCAACTCACAGAGTTTAACCTTTCTTTTCATAGAGCAGTTTGGAAACCCTCTGTTTGTGAAGTCTGCAAGTGGATATTTAAACGTCTTTGAGGCCTTCGTTGGAAACGGGATTTCTTCATATAAACCAGGACAGAAGAATTCTCAGAAACTTCTTGATTGTTATGGGTGCATTCAACTCACAGAGTTGAACCTTACTTTGGAAAGAGCGGTTTTCTAACACTCTTTTTGTAAAAGTTCCAAGTGAATACTTTGAGTGCTTTGAAGCCTACGGTTGACAACGAAATATCTTCATGTAAAAACTACAAAGAATCATTCGCAGAAACCACGTTGTGATCTCTGCATTCAACTCACAGAGTTGAACCTTTCTTCCTATAGAGCAGTTATGAAACAGTCTCTTTGTAGAATTTGCAAGGGTGTATTTAGAGGGCATTGAAGCCTACGGTATAAAAGGAAATATCTTACCATAAAATCTAGTCAGAAGCATTCTCAGCAACTGAGTTGTGATGTTTCCATTCAACTCACAGAGTTCAACATTCCTTTTAATGGAGCGGTTTTGAAACACTCTTTTTGCAGAATCTGCAAGTGGATATTTGGACCTCTTTGAGGCCTTCGTTGGAAACGGGATTTCTTCATGTAATGCCAGACAGAAGAATTCTCAGTGAATTCTTTCTGTGTGTGTGTATTCAACTCACAGAGTTGAACGTTCCTTTAGACAGAGTAGATTGGAAACACTCTTTTTGTGGAATTTTCAGGTGGAGGTATCAAGCGCTTTGAGGCCAATGATAGAAAAGGAAATACCTTCGTATAATAATTAGACGGAATCATTCTCAGAAACTGCTTTGCAATGTGTGCGTTCAACTCACAGTGTTTAACCTTTCTTTTCATACAGTTGTTTCGAAACACTCTTTTTGCAGAATCTGCAAGTGGATATTTGGACCTCTTTGAAGTCTTCGTTGGAAATGGGATTTCTTCATATAATGCTAGACAGAAGACTTCTCAGTAACTGCTTTTTCTGGTGTGTATTCAACTCTCAGAGTTGAACTTTCCTTTACAAACAGCAGATTTGAAACTCTCTTTTTGTGGAATTTGCAAGTGGAGATTTCAGAGCTTTGAGGCCAATGGTAGAAAAGGAAATATCTTCGTATGCAAACTAGACAGAATCATTCTCAGAAACTACTTTGGTACGTGTGTGTTCAACTCACAGTGTTTAACCTTTCTTTTCATAGAGCAGTTTGGAAACACTCAGTTTGTAAAGTCAGCAACTGGATATTTGGATGTATTTGAGGCCTTCGTTGGAAACGGGATTTCTTCATATAATGCTAGACAGAAGAATTCTCAGTAACTTCTTTGGGTTGTGGGTATTCAACTCACAGAGTTGAAGCTTCCTTTAGGCGGAGCAGATTGGAAACACTTTTTGTGGAATTTTCAGGGGGAGACTTCAAGCGCTTTGAAGTGAATGGTAGGAAAGGAAATATCTTCGTATAAAAACTAGACGGAGTCATTCTCAGAAACTACTTTGTGATGTTTGCGTTCAACTCACAGAGTTTAACGTTTCTTTTCATAGAGCAGTTTGGAAACACTCTTTTTGCAGAATCTGCAAGTGGATATTTGGACCTCTTTGTGGCCTTCGTTGGAAACGGGATTTTTCATATAATGCTAGACAGAAGAATTCTCAGTAACTTCTTTTTGTGGTGTGTATTCAACTCACAGAGTTGAACCTTCCTTTAGACAGAGCAGATTTGAAACTCTCTTTTTGTGGAATTTGCAAGTGGAGATTTCAAGCGCTTTGAGGCCAACGGCAGAAAAGGAAATATCTTCGTAGAAAAAATAGACGGAATCATTCTCAGAAACTGCTTTGGGATGTGTGCATTGAACTCACAGTGTTTAACACTTCTTTTCATAGAGCACTTTGGAAACACTCAGTTTGTAATGTCTGCAGCTGGATATTTGGACCTCTTTGAGGCCTTCGTGGTAAACGGGATTTCTTCGTGTAATGATAGACAATAGAATTCTCAGTGAATTTTTTTCTGTGTGTGTGTATTCAACTCACAGGGTTGAACCTTCCTTTAGACAGTGCAGATTTGAAACACTTGTCTGTGGAATTTGCAAGGGGAGATTTCAAGCACTTTGAGGCCATTGGTGGAAAAGGAAATATCTTCGTATGAAAACTAGACAGAATCATTCTCAGGAACTACTTTGTGATATGTGCATTCAACTCACAGAGTTTAACCTTTCTTTTCATAGATGAGTTTGGAAACAGTCAGTTTGTAAATTCTGCAACTGGATATTTGGACCTCTTTGAGGCTTTCGTTGGAAACGGGATTTCTTCACATAATGCTAGACAGAAGAATTCTCAGTAACTTCTTTTGGGATGTATGTATTCAAATCAGAGAGTTGAACCTTCCTTTAGACAGAGCGGATTGGAAACACTCTTTTTGTGGAATTTGCAAGTGGAAAATTCTAGCAGTATGAGGCCAATGGTACAAAAGGAAATATCTTCGTATAAAAACTAGACAGTATCATTCTCAGAAACTGCTTTGTGATGTGTGTATTAAACTCACAGAGTTGAACATTTCTTTGCATAGAGCAGTTTGGAAAGACTTAGTTTGTGCAGTGTGCAAGTGGATATTTGGAACTCTTTGAGGCCTTCGTTGGAAACGGGATTTCTTCTTATAATTCTTGACAAAAGAATTCTCAGTAGCTTCTTTGTGTGTGTGTATTCAACTCACAGAGTTGAACCTTCCTTTAGACAGAGCAGATTGGAAACACTCTTTTTGTGGAATTTGCAAGTGGAGAATTCTAGCGCTTTGACGCCAATGGTAGAAAGGAAATATCTTCGTATAAAAACTAGACAGTATCATTCTCAGAAGCTACTTTGTGATGTGTGCGTTCAACTCACAGAGTTTAACCTTTCTTTTCATAGAGCAGTTTGGAAACCCTCTGTTTGTGAAGTCTGCAAGTGGATATTTAAACGTCTTTGAGGCCTTCGTTGGAAACGGGATTTTTTCATATAAACCAGGACAGAAGAATTCTCAGAAACTTCTTGATTGTTATGTGTGCATTCAACTCACAGAGTTGAACCTTACTTTGGAAAGAGCAGTTTTCTAACACTCTTTTTGTAAAAGTTCCAAGTGAATACTTTGAGTGCTTTGAAGCCTACGGTTGACAACGAAATATCTTCATGTAAAAACTACAAAGAATCATTCGCAGAAACCACGTTGTGATCTCTGCATTCAACTCACAGAGTTGAACCTTTCTTCCTATAGAGCAGTTATGAAACAGTCTCTTTGTAGAATTTGCAAGGGTGTATTTAGAGGGCATTGAAGCCTACGGTAGAAAAGGAAATATCTTACCATAAAATCTAGTCAGAAGCATTCTCAGAAACTGAGTTGTGATGTTTGCATTCAACTCACAGACTTCAACATTCCTTTTAATGGAGCGGTTTTGAAACACTCTTTTTGCAGAATCTGCAAGTGGATATTTGGACCTCTTTGAGGCCTTCGTTGGAAACGGGATTTCTTCATGTAATGCCAGACAGAAGAATTCTCAGTGAATTCTTTCTGTGTGTGTGTATTCAACTCACAGAGTTGAACGTTCCTTTAGACAGAGTAGATTGGAAACACTCTTTTTGTGGAATTTTCAGGTGGAGGTATCAAGCGCTTTGAGGCCAATGATAGAAAAGGAAATACCTTCGTATAATAATTAGACGGAATCATTCTCAGAAACTGCTTTGCAATGTGTGCGTTCAACTCACAGTGTTTAACCTTTCTTTTCATACAGTTGTTTCGAAACACTCTTTTTGCAGAATCTGCAAGTGGATATTTGGACCTCTTTGAAGTCTTCGTTGGAAATGGGATTTCTTCATATAATGCTAGACAGAAGACTTCTCAGTAACTGCTTTTTCTGGTGTGTATTCAACTCTCAGAGTTGAATTTTCCTTTAGAAACAGCAGATTTGAAACTCTCTTTTTGTGGAATTTGCAAGTGGAGATTTCAGAGCTTTGAGGCCAATGGTAGAAAAGGAAATATCTTCGTATGCAAACTAGACAGAATCATTCTCAGAAACTACTTTGGTACGTGTGTGTTCAACTCACAGTGTTTAACCTTTCTTTTCATAGAGCAGTTTGGAAACACTCAGTTTGTAAAGTCAGCAACTGGATATTTGGATGTATTTGAGGCCTTCGTTGGAAACGGGATTTCTTCATATAATGCTAGACAGAAGAATTCTCAGTAACTTCTTAGGGTTGTGGGTATTCAACTCACAGAGTTGAAGCTTCCTTTAGGCGGAGCAGATTGGAAACACTTTTTGTGGAATTTTCAGGGGGAGACTTCAAGCGCTTTGAAGTGAATGGTAGAAAAGGAAATATCTTCGTATAAAAACTAGACGGAGTCATTCTCAGAAACTACTTTGTGATGTTTGCATTCAACTCACAGAGTTTAACGTTTCTTTTCATAGAGCAGTTTGGAAACACTCTTTTTGCAGAATCTGCAAGTGGATATTTGGACCTCTTTGTGGCCTTCGTTGGAAACGGGATTTTTCATATAATGCTAGACAGAAGAATTCTCAGTAACTTCTTTTTGTGGTGTGTATTCAACTCACAGAGTTCAACTTTCCTTTAGACAGAGCAGATTTGAAACTCTCTTTTTGTGGAATTTGCAAGTGGAGATTTCAAGCGCTTTGAGTTCAATGGTAGAAAAGGAAATATCTTCGTAGAAAAAATAGACGGAATCATTCTCAGAAACTGCTTTGGGATGTGTGCATTGAACTCACAGTGTTTAACACTTCTTTTCATAGAGCACTTTGGAAACACTCAGTTTGTAATGTCTGCAGCTGGATATTTGGACCTCTTTGAGGCCTTCGTAGTAAACGGGATTTCTTCGTGTAATGATAGACAATAGAATTCTCAGTGAATTTTTTTCTGTGTGTGTGTATTCAATTCACAGGGTTGAACCTTCCTTTAGACAGTGCAGATTTGAGACACTTGTCTGTGGAATTTGCAAGGGGAGATTTCAAGCACTTTGAGGCCATTGGTGGAAAAGGAAATATCTTCGTATAAAAACTAGACAGAATCATTCTCAGGAACTACTTTGTGATATGTGCATTCAACTCACAGAGTTTAACCTTTCTTTTCATAGATGAGTTTGGAAACAGTCAGTTTGTAAATGCTGCAACTGGATATTTGGGCCTCTTTGAGGCTTTCGTTGGAAACGGGATTTCTTCACATAATGCTAGACAGAAGAATTCTCAGTAACTTCTTTTGGGATGTATGTATTCAAATCAGAGAGTTGAACCTTCCTTTAGACAGAGCGGATTGGAAACACTCTTTTTGTGGAATTTGCAAGTGGAAAATTCTAGCAGTATGAGGCCAATGGTACAAAAGGAAATATCTTCGTATAAAAACTAGACAGTATCATTCTCAGAAACTGCTTTGTGATGTGTGTATTAAACTCACAGAGTTGAACATTTCTTTGCATAGAGCAGTATGGAAAGACTTAGTTTGTGCAGTGTGCAAGTGGATATTTGGAACTCTTTGAGGCCTTGGTTGGAAACGGGATTTCTTCTTATAATTCTTGACAAAAGAATTCTCAGTAGCTTCTTTGTGTGTGTGTACTCAACTCACAGAGTTGAACCTTCCTTTAGACAGAGCAGATTGGAAACACTCTTTTTGTGGAATTTGCAAGTGGAAAATTCTAGCAGTATGAGGCCAATGGTACAAAAGGAAATATCTTCGTATAAAAACTAGACAGTAATCATTCTCAGAAACTACTTTGTGATGTGTGCGTTCAACTCACAGTGTTTACCCTTTCTTTTCATAGAGCAGTTTGGAAACACTCTGTTTGTGAAGTCTGCAAGTGGATATTTAAACGTCTTTGAGGCCTTCGTTGGAAACGGGATTTCTTCATATAAACCAGGACAGAAGAATTCTCAGAAACTTCTTGTTTGTTATGTGTGCATTCAACTCACAGAGTTGAACCTTACTTTGGAAAGAGCAGTTTTCTAACACTCTTTTTGTAAAAGTTCCAAGTGAATACTTTGAGTGCTTTGAAGCCTACGGTAGACAACGAAATATCTTCATGTAAAAACTACAAAGAATCATTCGCAGAAACCACGTTGTGATCTCTGCATTCAACTCACAGAGTTGAACCTTTCCTCCTATAGAGCAGTTATGAAGCAGTCTCTTTGTAGAATTTGCAAGGGTGTATTTACAGGGCATTGAAGCCTACGGTAGAAAAGGAAATATCTTACCATAAAATCTAGTCAGAAGCATTCTCAGAAACTGAGTTGTGATGTTTGCATTCAACTCACAGAGTTCAACATTCCTTTTAATGGAGCGGTTTTGAAACACTCTTTTTGCAGAATCTGCAAGTGGATATTTGGACCTCTTTGAGGCCTTCGTTGGAAACGGGATTTCTTCATGTAATGCCAGACAGAAGAATTCTCAGTGAATTCTTTCTGTGTGTGTGTATTCAACTCACAGAGTTGAACGTTCCTTTAGACAGAGTAGATTGGAAACACTCTTTTTGTGGAATTTTCAGGTGGAGGTATCAAGCGCTTTGAGGCCAATGATAGAAAAGGAAATACCTTCGTATAATAATTAGACGGAATCATTCTCAGAAACTGCTTTGCAATGTGTGCGTTCAACTCACAGTGTTTAACCTTTCTTTTCATACAGTTGTTTCGAAACACTCTTTTTGCAGAATCTGCAAGTGGATATTTGGACCTCTTTGAAGTCTTCGTTGGAAATGGGATTTCTTCATATAATGCTAGACAGAAGACTTCTCAGTAACTGCTTTTTCTGGTGTGTATTCAACTCTCCGAGTTGAACTTTCCTTTAGAAACAGCAGATTTGAAACTCTCTTTTTGTGGAATTTGCAAGTGGAGATTTCAGAGCTTTGAGGCCACTGGTAGAAAAGGAAATATCTTCGTATGCAAACTAGACAGAATCATTCTCAGAAACTACTTTGGTACGTGTGTGTTCAACTCACAGTGTTTAACCTTTCTTTTCATAGAGCAGTTTGGAAACACTCAGTTTGTAAAGTCAGCAACTGGATATTTGGATGTATTTGAGGCCTTCGTTGGAAACGGGATTTCTTCATATAATGCTAGACAGAAGAATTCTCAGTAACTTCTTTGGGTTGTGGGTATTCAACTCACAGAGTTGAAGCTTCCTTTAGGCGGAGCAGATTGGAAACACTTTTTGTGGAATTTTCAGGGGGAGACTTCAAGCGCTTTGAAGTGAATGGTAGGAAAGGAAATATCTTCGTATAAAAACTAGACGGAGTCATTCTCAGAAACTACTTTGTGATGTTTGCGTTCAACTCACAGAGTTTAACGTTTCTTTTCATAGAGCAGTTTGGAAACACTCTTTTTGCAGAATCTGCAAGTGGATATTTGGACCTCTTTGTGGCCTTCGTTGGAAACGGGATTTTTCATATAATGCTAGACAGAAGAATTCTCAGTAACTTCTTTTTGTGGTGTGTATTCAACTCACAGAGTTGAACCTTCCTTTAGACAGAGCAGATTTGAAACTCTCTTTTTGTGGAATTTGCAAGTGGAGATTTCAAGCGCTTTGAGGCCAACGGTAGGAAAGGAAATATCTGCGTAGAAAAAATAGACGGAATCATTCTCAGAAACTGCTTTGGGATGTGTGCATTGAACTCACAGTGTTTAACACTTCTTTTCATAGAGCACTTTGGAAACACTCAGTTTGTCATGTCTGCAGCTGGATATTTGGACCTCTTTGAGGCCTTCGTAGTAATCGGGATTTCTTCGTGTAATGATAGACAATAGAATTCTCAGTGAATTTTTTTCTGTGTGTGTGTATTCAACTCACAGGGTTGAACCTTCCTTTAGACAGTGCAGATTTGAAACACTTGTCTGTGGAATTTGCAAGGGGAGATTTCAAGCACTTTGAGGCCATTGGTGGAAAAGGAAATATCTTCGTATAAAAACTAGACAGAATCATTCTCAGGAACTACTTTGTGATATGTGCATTCAACTCCCAGAGTTTAACCTTTCTTTTCATAGATGAGTTTGGAAACAGTCAGTTTGTAAATTCTGCAACTGGATATTTGGACCTCTTTGAGGCTTTCGTTGGAAACGGGATTTCTTCACATAATGCTAGACAGAAGAATTCTCAGTAACTTCTTTTGGGATGTATGTATTCAAATCAGAGAGTTGAACCTTCCTTTAGACAGAGCGGATTGGAAACACTCTTTTTGTGGAATTTGCAAGTGGAAAATTCTAGCAGTATGAGGCCAATGGTACAAAAGGAAATATCTTCGTATAAAAACTAGACAGTATCATTCTCAGAAACTGCTTTGTGATGTGTGTATTAAACTCACAGAGTTTAACCTTTCTTTTCATAGAGCAGTTTGGAAACCCTCTGTTTGTGAAGTCTGCAAGTGGATATTTAAACGTCTTTGAGGCCTTCGTTGGAAACGGGATTTTTTCATATAAACCAGGACAGAAGAATTCTCAGAAACTTCTTGATTGTTATGTGTGCATTCAACTCACAGAGTTGAACCTTACTTTGGAAAGAGCAGTTTTCTAACACTCTTTTTGTAAAAGTTCCAAGTGAATACTTTGAGTGCTTTGAAGCCTACGGTTGACAACGAAATATCTTCATGTAAAAACTACAAAGAATCATTCGCAGAAACCACGTTGTGATCTCTGCATTCAACTCACAGTGTTGAACCTTTCTTCCTATAGAGCAGTTATGAAACAGTCTCTTTGTAGAATTTGCAAGGGTGTATTTAGAGGGCATTGAAGCCTACGGTAGAAAAGGAAATATCTTACCATAAAATCTAGTCAGAAGCATTCTCAGAAACTGAGTTGTGATGTTTGCATTCAACTCACAGAGTTCAACATTCCTTTTAATGGAGCGGTTTTGAAACACTCTTTTTGCAGAATCTGCAAGTGGATATTTGGACCTCTTTGAGGCCTTCGTTGGAAACGGGATTTCTTCATGTAATGCCAGACAGAAGAATTCTCAGTGAATTCTTTCTGTGTGTGTGTATTCAACTCACAGAGTTGAACGTTCCTTTAGACAGAGTAGATTGGAAACACTCTTTTTGTGGAATTTTCAGGTGGAGGTATCAAGCGCTTTGAGGCCAATGATAGAAAAGGAAATACCTTCGTATAATAATTAGACGGAATCATTCTCAGAAACTGCTTTGCAATGTGTGCGTTCAACTCACAGTGTTTAACCTTTCTTTTCATACAGTTGTTTCGAAACACTCTTTTTGCAGAATCTGCAAGTGGATATTTGGACCTCTTTGAAGTCTTCGTTGGAAATGGGATTTCTTCATATAATGCTAGACAGAAGACTTCTCAGTAACTGCTTTTTCTGGTGTGTATTCTACTCTCAGAGTTGAACTTTCCTTTAGAAACAGCAGATTTGAAACTCTCTTTTTGTGGAATTTGCAAGTGGAGATTTCAGAGCTTTGAGGCCAATGGTAGAAAAGGAAATATCTTCGTATGCAAACTAGACAGAATCATTCTCAGAAACTACTTTGGTACGTGTGTGTTCAACTCACAGTGTTTAACCTTTCTTTTCATAGAGCAGTTTGGAAACACTCAGTTTGTAAAGTCAGCAACTGGATATTTGGATGTATTTGAGGCCTTCGTTGGAAACGGGATTTCTTCATATAATGCTAGACAGAAGAATTCTCAGTAACTTCTTTGGGTTGTGGGTATTCAACTCACAGAGTTGAAGCTTCCTTTAGGCGGAGCAGATTGGAAACACTTTTTGTGGAATTTTCAGGGGGAGACTTCAAGCGCTTTGAAGTGAATGGTAGGAAAGGAAATATCTTCGTATAAAAACTAGACGGAGTCATTCTCAGAAACTACTTTGTGATGTTTGCGTTCAACTCACAGAGTTTAACGTTTCTTTTCATAGAGCAGTTTGGAAACACTCTTTTTGCAGAATCTGCAAGTGGATATTTGGACCTCTTTGTGGCCTTCGTTGGAAACGGGATTTTTCATATAATGCTAGACAGAAGAATTCTCAGTAACTTCTTTTTGTGGTGTGTATTCAACTCACAGAGTTGAACCTTCCTTTAGACAGAGCAGATTTGAAACTCTCTTTTTGTGGAATTTGCAAGTGGAGATTTCAAGCGCTTTGAGGCCAACGGCAGAAAAGGAAATATCTTCGTAGAAAAAATAGACGGAATCATTCTCAGAAACTGCTTTGGGATGTGTGCATTGAACTCACAGTGTTTAACACTTCTTTTCATAGAGCACTTTGGAAACACTCAGTTTATAATGTCTGCAGCTGGATATTTGGACCTCTTTGAGGCCTTCGTAGTAAACGGGATTTCTTCGTGTAATGATAGACAATAGCAATTCTCAGTGAATTTTTTTCTGTGTGTGTGTATTCAACTCACAGGGTTGAACCATCCTTTAGACAGTGCAGATTTGAAACACTTGTCTGTGGAATTTGCAAGGGGAGATTTCAAGCACTTTGAGGCCATTGGTGGAAAAGGAAATATCTTCGTATGAAAACTAGACAGAATCATTCTCAGGAACTACTTTGTGATATGGGCATTCAACTCACAGAGTTTAACCTTTCTTTTCATAGATGAGTTTGGAAACAGTCAGTTTGTAAATTCTACAACTGGATATTTGGACCTCTTTGAGGCTTTCGTTGGAAACGGGATTTCTTCACATAATGCTAGACAGAAGAATTCTCAGTAACTTCTTTTGGGATGTATGTATTCAAATCAGAGAGTTGAACCTTCCTTTAGACAGAGCGGATTGGAAACACTCTTTTTGTGGAATTTGCAAGTGGAAAATTCTAGCAGTATGAGGCCAATGGTACAAAAGGAAATATCTTCGTATAAAAACTAGACAGTATCATTCTCAGAAACTGCTTTGTGATGTGTGAATTAAACTCACAGAGTTGAACATTTCTTTGCATAGAGCAGTTTGGAAAGACTTAGTTTGTGCAGTGTGCAAGTGGATATTTGGAACTCTTTGAGGCCTTCGTTGGAAACGGGATTTCTTCTTATAATTCTTGACAAAAGAATTCTCAGTAGCTTCTTTGTGTGTGTGTATTCAACTCACAGAGTTGAACCTTCCTTTAGACAGAGCAGATTGGAAACACTCTTTTTGTGGAATTTGCAAGTGGAGAATTCTAACGCTTTGACGCCAATGGTAGAAAGGAAATATCTTCGTATAAAAACTAGACAGTATCTTTCTCAGAAACAACTTTGTGATGTGTGCGTTCAACTCACAGAGTTTAACCTTTCTTTTCATAGAGCAGTTTGGAAACACTCTGTTTGTGAAGTCTGCAAGTGGATATTTAAACGTCTCTGAGGCCTTCGTTGGAAACGGGATTTTTTCATATAAACCAGGACAGAAGAATTCTCAGAAACTTCTTGATTGTTATGTGTGCATTCAACTCACAGAGTTGAACCTTACTTTGGAAAGAGCAGTTTTCTAACACTCTTTTTGTAAAAGTTCCAAGTGAATACTTTGAGTGCTTTGAAGCCTACGGTTGACAACGAAATATCTTCCTGTAAAAACTACAAAGAATCATTCGCAGAAACCACGTTGTGATCTCTGCATTCAACTCACAGAGTTGAACCTTTCTTCCTATAGAGCAGTTATGAAACAGTCTCTTTGTAGAATTTGCAAGGGTGTATTTAGAGGGCATTGAAGCCTACGGTAGAAAAGGAAATATCTTACCATAAAATCTAGTCAGAAGCATTCTCAGCAACTGAGTTGTGATGTTTCCATTCAACTCACAGAGTTCAACATTCCTTTTAATGGAGCGGTTTTGAAACACTCTTTTTGCAGAATCTGCAAGTGGATATTTGGACCTCTTTGAGGCCTTCGTTGGAAACGGGATTTCTTCATGTAATGCCAGACAGAAGAATTCTCAGTGAATTCTTTCTGTGTGTGTGTATTCAACTCACAGAGTTGAACGTTCCTTTAGACAGAGTAGATTGGAAACACTCTTTTTGTGGAATTTTCAGGTGGAGGTATCAAGCGCTTTGAGGCCAATGATAGAAAAGGAAATACCTTCGTATAATAATTAGACGGAATCATTCTCAGAAACCGCTTTGCAATGTGTGCGTTCAACTCACAGTGTTTAACCTTTCTTTTCATACAGTTGTTTCGAAACACTCTTTTTGCAGAATCTGCAAGTGGATATTTGGACCTCTTTGAAGTCTTCGTTGGAAATGGGATTTCTTCATATAATGCTAGACAGAAGACTTCTCAGTAACTGCTTTTTCTGGTGTGTATTCAACTCTCAGAGTTGAACTTTCCTTTAGAAACAGCAGATTTGAAACTCTCTTTTTGTGGAATTTGCAAGTGGAGATTTCAGAGCTTTGAGGCCAATGGTAGAAAAGGAAATATCTTCGTATGCAAACTAGACAGAATCATTCTCAGAAACTACTTTGGTACGTGTGTGTTCAACTCACAGTGTTTAACCTTTCTTTTCATAGAGCAGTTTGGAAACACTCAGTTTGCAAAGTCAGCAACTGGATATTTGGATGTATTTGAGGCCTTCGTTGGAAACGGGATTTCTTCATATAATGCTAGACAGAAGAATTCTCAGTAACTTCTTTGGGTTGTGGGTATTCAAGTCACAGAGTTGAAGCTTCCTTTAGGCGGAGCAGATTGGAAACACTTTTTGTGGAATTTTCAGGGGGAGACTTCAAGCGCTTTGAAGTGAATGGTAGGAAAGGAAATATCTTCGTATAAAAACTAGACGGAGTCATTCTCAGAAACTACTTTGTGATGTTTGCGTTCAACTCACAGAGTTTAACGTTTCTTTTCATAGAGCAGTTTGGAAACACTCTTTTTGCAGAATCTGCAAGTGGATATTTGGACCTCTTTGTGGCCTTCGTTGGAAACGGGATTTTTCATATAATGCTAGACAGAAGAATTCTCAGTAACTTCTTTTTGTGGTGTGTATTCAACTCACAGAGTTGAACCTTCCTTTAGACAGAGCAGATTTGAAACTCTCTTTTTGTGGAATTTGCAAGTGGAGATTTCAAGCGCTTTGAGGCCAACGGCAGAAAAGGAAATATCTTCGTAGAAAAAATAGACGGAATCATTCTCAGAAACTGCTTTGGGATGTGTGCATTGAACTCACAGTGTTTAACACTTCTTTTCATAGAGCACTTTGGAAACACTCAGTTTATAATGTCTGCAGCTGGATATTTGGACCTCTTTGAGGCCTTCGTAGTAAACGGGATTTCTTCGTGTAATGATAGACAATAGAATTCTCAGTGAATTTTTTTCTGTGTGTGTGTATTCAACTCACAGGGTTGAACCATCCTTTAGACAGTGCAGATTTGAAACACTTGTCTGTGGAATTTGCAAGGGGAGATTTCAAGCACTTTGAGGCCATTGGTGGAAAAGGAAATATCTTCGTATGAAAACTATACAGAATCATTCTCAGGAACTACTTTGTGATATGGGCATTCAACTCCCAGAGTTTAACCTTTCTTTTCATAGATGAGTTTGGAAACAGTCAGTTTGTAAATTCTGCAACTGGATATTTGGACCTCTTTGAGGCTTTCGTTGGAAACGGGATTTCTTCACATAATGCTAGACAGAAGAATTCTCAGTAACTTCTTTTGGGATGTATGTATTCAAATCAGAGAGTTGAACCTTCCTTTAGACAGAGCGGATTGGAAACACTCTTTTTGTGGAATTTGCAAGTGGAAAATTCTAGCAGTATGAGGCCAATGGTACAAAAGGAAATATCTTCGTATAAAAACTAGACAGTATCATTCTCAGAAACTGCTTTGTGATGTGTGAATTAAACTCACAGAGTTGAACATTTCTTTGCATAGAGCAGTTTGGAAAGACTTAGTTTTTGCAGTGTGCAAGTGGATATTTGGAACTCTTTGAGGCCTTCGTTGGAAACGGGATTTCTTCTTATAATTCTTGACAAAAGAATTCTCAGTAGCTTCTTTGTGTGTGTGTATTCAACTCACAGAGTTGAACCTTCCTTTAGACAGAGCAGATTGGAAACACTCTTTTTGTGGAATTTGCAAGTGGAGAATTCTAACGCTTTGACGCCAATGGTAGAAAGGAAATATCTTCGTATAAAAACTAGACAGTATCATTCTCAGAAACAACTTTGTGATGTGTGCGTTCAACTCACAGAGTTTAACCTTTCTTTTCATAGAGCAGTTTGGAAACACTCTGTTTGTGAAGTCTGCAAGTGGATATTTAAACGTCTCTGAGGCCTTCGTTGGAAACGGGATTTTTTCATATAAACCAGGACAGAAGAATTCTCAGAAACTTCTTCATTCTTATGTGTGCATTCAACTCACAGAGTTGAACCTTACTTTGGAAAGAGCAGTTTTCTAACACTCTTTTTGTAAAAGTTCCAAGTGAATACTTTGAGTGCTTTGAAGCCTACGGTTGACAATGAAATATCTTCCTGTAAAAACTACAAAGAATCATTCGCAGAAACCACGTTGTGATCTCTGCATTCAACTCACAGAGTTGAACCTTTCTTCCTATAGAGCAGTTATGAAACAGTCTCTTTGTAGAATTTGCAAGGGTGTATTTAGAGGGCATTGAAGCCTACGGTAGAAAAGGAAATATCTTACCATAAAATCTAGTCAGAAGCATTCTCAGAAACTGAGTTGTGATGTTTGCATTCAACTCACAGAGTTCAACATTCCTTTTAATGGAGCGGTTTTGAAACACTCTTTTTGCAGAATCTGCAAGTGGATATTTGGACCTCTTTGAGGCCTTCGTTGGAAACGGGATTTCTTCATGTAATGCCAGACAGAAGAATTCTCAGTGAATTCTTTCTGTGTGTGTGTATTCAACTCACAGAGTTGAACGTTCCTTTAGACAGAGTAGATTGGAAACACTCTTTTTGTGGAATTTTCAGGTGGAGGTATCAAGCGCTTTGAGGCCAATGATAGAAAAGGAAATACCTTCGTATAATAATTAGACGGAATCATTCTCAGAAACTGCTTTGCAATGTGTGCGTTCAACTCACAGTGTTTAACCTTTCTTTTCATACAGTTGTTTCGAAACACTCTTTTTGCAGAATCTGCAAGTGGATATTTGGACCTCTTTGAAGTCTTCGTTGGAAATGGGATTTCTTCATATAATGCTAGACAGAAGACTTCTCAGTAACTGCTTTTTCTGGTGTGTATTCAACTCTCAGAGTTGAACTTTCCTTTAGAAACAGCAGATTTGAAACTCTCTTTTTGTGGAATTTGCAAGTGGAGATTTCAGAGCTTTGAGGCCAATGGTAGAAAAGGAAATATCTTCGTATGCAAACTAGACAGAATCATTCTCAGAAACTACTTTGGTACGTGTGTGTTCAACTCACAGTGTTTAACCTTTCTTTTCATAGAGCAGTTTGGAAACACTCAGTTTGTAAAGTCAGCAACTGGATATTTGGATGTATTTGAGGCCTTCGTTGGAAACGGGATTTCTTCATATAATGCTAGACAGAAGAATTCTCAGTAACTTCTTTGGGTTGTGGGTATTCAAGTCACAGAGTTGAAGCTTCCTTTAGGCGGAGCAGATTGGAAACACTTTTTGTGGAATTTTCAGGGGGAGACTTCAAGCGCTTTGAAGTGAATGGTAGGAAAGGAAATATCTTCGTATAAAAACTAGACGGAGTCATTCTCAGAAACTACTTTGTGATGTTTGCGTTCAACTCACAGAGTTTAACGTTTCTTTTCATAGAGCAGTTTGGAAACACTCTTTTTGCAGAATCTGCAAGTGGATATTTGGACTTCTTTGTGGCCTTCGTTGCAAACGGGATTTTTCATATAATGCTAGACAGAAGAATTCTCAGTAACTTCTTTTTGTGGTGTGTATTCAACTCACAGAGTTGAACCTTCCTTTAGACAGAGCAGATTTGAAACTCTCTTTTTGTGGAATTTGCAAGTGGAGATTTCAAGCGCTTTGAGGCCAACGGCAGAAAAGGAAATATCTTCGTAGAAAAAATAGACGGCATCATTCTCAGAAACTGCTTTGGGATGTGTGCATTGAACTCACAGTGTTTAACACTTCTTTTCATAGAGCACTTTGGAAACACTCAGGTTGTAATGTCTGCAGCTGGATATTTGGACCTCTTTGAGGCCTTCGTAGTAAACGGGATTTCTTCGTGTAATGATAGACAATAGAATTCTCAGTGAATTTTTTTCTGTGTGTGTGTATTCAACTCACAGGGTTGAACCTTCCTTTAGACAGTGCAGATTTGAGACACTTGTCTGTGGAATTTGCAAGGGGAGATTTCAAGCACTTTGAGGCCATTGGTGGAAAAGGAAATATCTTCGTATGAAAACTAGACAGAATCATTCTCAGGAACTACTTTGTGATATGTGCATTCAACTCACAGAGTTTAACCTTTCTTTTCATAGATGAGTTTGGAAACAGTCAGTTTGTAAATTCTGCAACTGGATATTTGGACCTCTTTGAGGCTTTCGTTGGAAACGGGATTTCTTCACATAATGCTAGACAGAAGAATTCTCAGTAACTTCTTTTGGGATGTATGTATTCAAATCAGAGAGTTGAACCTTCCTTTAGACAGAGCGGATTGGAAACACTCTTTTTGTGGAATTTGCAAGTGGAAAATTCTAGCAGTATGAGGCCAATGGTACAAAAGGAAATATCTTCGTATAAAAACTAGACAGTATCATTCTCAGAAACTGCTTTGTGATGTGTGTATTAAACTCACAGAGTTTAACCTTTCTTTTCATAGAGCAGTTTGGAAACCCTCTGTTTGTGAAGTCTGCAAGTGGATATTTAAACGTCTTTGAGGCCTTCGTTGGAAACGGGATTTTTTCATATAAACCAGGACAGAAGAATTCTCAGAAACTTCTTGATTGTTATGTGTGCATTCAACTCACAGAGTTGAACCTTACTTTGGAAAGAGCAGTTTTCTAACACTCTTTTTGTAAAAGTTCCAAGTGAATACTTTGAGTGCTTTGAAGCCTACGGTTGACAACGAAATATCTTCATGTAAAAACTACAAAGAATCATTCGCAGAAACCACGTTGTGATCTCTGCATTCAACTCACAGTGTTGAACCTTTCTTCCTATAGAGCAGTTATGAAACAGTCTCTTTGTAGAATTTGCAAGGGTGTATTTAGAGGGCATTGAAGCCTACGGTAGAAAAGGAAATATCTTACCATAAAATCTAGTCAGAAGCATTCTCAGCAACTGAGTTGTGATGTTTGCATTCAACTCACAGAGTTCAACATTCCTTTTAATGGAGCGGTTTTGAAACACTCTTTTTGCAGAATCTGCAAGTGGATATTTGGACCTCCTTTGAGGCCTTCGTTGGAAACGGGATTTCTTCATGTAATGCCAGACAGAAGAACTCTCAGTGAATTCTTTCTGTGTGTGTGTATTCAACTCACAGAGTTGAACGTTCCTTTAGACAGAGTAGATTGGAAACACTCTTTTTGTGGAATTTTCAGGTGGAGGTATCAAGCGCTTTGAGGCCAATGATAGAAAAGGAAATACCTTCGTATAATAATTAGACGGAATCATTCTCAGAAACTGCTTTGCAATGTGTGCGTTCAACTCACAGTGTTTAACCTTTCTTTTCATACAGTTGTTTCGAAACACTCTTTTTGCAGAATCTGCAAGTGGATATTTGGACCTCTTTGAAGTCTTCGTTGGAAATGGGATTTCTTCATATAATGCTAGACAGAAGACTTCTCAGTAACTGCTTTTTCTGGTGTGTATTCAACTCTCAGAGTTGAACTTTCCTTTAGAAACAGCAGAGTTGAAACTCTCTTTTTGTGGAATTTGCAAGTGGAGATTTCAGAGCTTTGAGGCCAATGGTAGAAAAGGAAATATCTTCGTATGCAAACTAGACAGAATCATTCTCAGAAACTACTTTGGTACGTGTGTGTTCAACTCACAGTGTTTAACCTTTCTTTTCATAGAGCAGTTTGGAAACACTCAGTTTGTAAAGTCAGCAACTGGATACTTGGATGTATTTGAGGCCTTCGTTGGAAACGGGATTTCTTCATATAATGCTAGACAGAAGAATTCTCAGTAACTTCTTTGGGTTGTGGGTATTCAAGTCACAGAGTTGAAGCTTCCTTTAGGCGGAGCAGATTGGAAACACTTTTTGTGGAATTTTCAGGGGGAGACTTCAAGCGCTTTGAAGTGAATGGTAGGAAAGGAAATATCTTCGTATAAAAACTAGACGGAGTCATTCTCAGAAACTACTTTGTGATGTTTGCGTTCAACTCACAGAGTTTAACGTTTCTTTTCATAGAGCAGTTTGGAAACACTCTTTTTGCAGAATCTGCAAGTGGATATTTGGACCTCTTTGTGGCCTTCGTTGGAAACGGGATTTTTCATATAATGCTAGACAGAAGAATTCTCAGTAACTTCTTTTTGTGGTGTGTATTCAACTCACAGAGTTGAACCTTCCTTTAGACAGAGCAGATTTGAAACTCTCTTTTTGTGGAATTTGCAAGTGGAGATTTCAAGCGCTTTGAGGCCAACGGCAGAAAAGGAAATATCTTCGTAGAAAAAATAGACGGAATCATTCTCAGAAACTGCTTTGGGATGTGTGCATTGAACTCACAGTGTTTAACACTTCTTTTCATAGAGCACTTTGGAAACACTCAGTTTGTAATGTCTGCAGCTGGATATTTGGACCTCTTTGAGGCCTTCGTAGTAAACGGGATTTCTTCGTGTAATGATAGACAATAGAATTCTCAGTGAATTTTTTCCTGTGTGTGTGTATTCAACTCACAGGGTTGAACCTTCCTTTAGACAGTGCAGATTTGAAACACTTGTCTGTGGAATTTGCAAGGGGAGATTTCAAGCACTTTGAGGCCATTGGTGGAAAAGGAAATATCTTCGTATAAAAACTAGACAGAATCATTCTCAGGAACTACTTTGTGATACTGTGCATTCAACTCACAGGGTTTAACCTTTCTTTTCATAGATGAGTTTGGAAACAGTCAGTTTGTAAATTCTGCAACTGGATATTAGGACCTCTTTGAGGCGTTCGTTGGAAACGGGATTTCTTCACATAATGCTAGACAGAAGAATTCTCAGTAACTTCTTTTGGGATGTATGTATTCAAATCAGAGAGTTGAACCTTCCTTTAGACAGAGCGGATTGGAAACACTCTTTTTGTGGAATTTGCAAGTGGAAAATTCTAGCAGTATGAGGCCAATGGTACAAAAGGAAATATCTTCGTATAAAAACTAGACAGTATCATTCTCAGAAACTGCTTTGTGATGTGTGTATTAAACTCACAGAGTTGAACATTTCTTTGCATAGAGCAGTTTGGAAAGACTTAGTTTGTGCAGTGTGCAAGTGGATATTTGGAACTCTTTGAGGCCTTCGTTGGAAACGGGATTTCTTCTTATAATTCTTGACAAAAGAATTCTCAGTAGCTTCTTTGTGTGTGTGTATTCAACTCACAGAGTTGAACCTTCCTTTAGACAGAGCAGATTGGAAACACTCTTTTTGTGGAATTTGCAAGTGGAGAATTCTAGCGCTTTGACGCCAATGGTAGAAAGGAAATATCTTCGTATAAAAACTAGACAGTATCATTCTCAGAAGCTACTTTGTGATGTGTGTGTTCAACTCACAGAGTTTAACCTTTCTTTTCATAATGCAGTTTGGAAACCCTCTGTTTGTGAAGTCTGCAAGTGGATATTTAAACGTCTTTGAGGCCTTCGTTGGAAACGGGATTTTTTCATATAAACCAGGACAGAAGAATTCTCAGAAACTTCTTGATTGTTATGTGTGCATTCAACTCACAGAGTTGAACCTTACTTTGGAAAGAGCAGTTTTCTAACACTCTTTTTGTAAAAGTTCCAAGTGAATACTTTGAGTGCTTTGAAGCCTACGGTTGACAACGAAATATCTTCATGTAAAAACTACAAAGAATCATTCGCAGAAACCACGTTGTGATCTCTGCATTCAACTCACAGAGTTCAACCTTTCTTCCTATAGAGCAGTTATGAAACAGTCTCTTTGTAGAATTTGCAAGGGTGTATTTAGAGGGCATTGAAGCCTACGGTAGAAAAGGAAATATCTTACCATAAAATCTAGTCAGAAGCATTCTCAGCAACTGAGTTGTGATGTTTGCACTCAACTCACAGAGTTCAACATTCCTTTTAATGGAGCGGTTTTGAAACACTCTTTTTGCAGAATCTGCAAGTGGATATTTGGACCTCTTTGAGGCCTTCGTTGGAAACGGGATTTCTTCATGTAATGCCAGACAGAAGAATTCTCAGTGAATTCTTTCTGTGTGTGTGTATTCAACTCACAGAGTTGAACGTTCCTTTAGACAGAGTAGATTGGAAACACTCTTTTTGTGGAATTTTCAGGTGGAGGTATCAAGCGCTTTGAGGCCAATGATAGAAAAGGAAATACCTTCGTATAATAATTAGACGGAATCATTCTCAGAAACCGCTTTGCAATGTGTGCGTTCAACTCACAGTGTTTAACCTTTCTTTTCATACAGTTGTTTCGAAACACTCTTTTTGCAGAATCTGCAAGTGGATATTTGGACCTCTTTGAAGTCTTCGTTGGAAATGGGATTTCTTCATATAATGCTAGACAGAAGACTTCTCAGTAACTGCTTTTTCTGGTGTGTATTCAACTCTCAGAGTTGAACTTTCCTTTAGAAACAGCAGATTTGAAACTCTCTTTTTGTGGAATTTGCAAGTGGAGATTTCGGAGCTTTGAGGCCAATGGTAGAAAAGGAAATATCTTCGTATGCAAACTAGACAGAATCATTCTCAGAAACTACTTTGGTACGTGTGTGTTCAACTCACAGTGTTTAACCTTTCTTTTCATAGAGCAGTTTGGAAACACTCAGTTTGTAAAGTCAGCAACTGGATATTTGGATGTATTTGAGGCCTTCGTTGGAAACGGGATTTCTTCATATAATGCTAGACAGAAGAATTCTCAGTAACTTCTTTGGGTTGTGGGTATTCAAGTCACAGAGTTGAAGCTTCCTTTAGGCGGAGCAGATTGGAAACACTTTTTGTGGAATTTTCAGGGGGAGACTTCAAGCGCTTTGAAGTGAATGGTAGGAAAGGAAATATCTTCGTATAAAAACTAGACGGAGTCATTCTCAGAAACTACTTTGTGATGTTTGTGTTCAACTCACAGAGTTTAACGTTTCTTTTCATAGAGCAGTTTGGAAACACTCTTTTTGCAGAATCTGCAAGTGGATATTTGGACCTCTTTGTGGCCTTCGTTGGAAACGGGATTTTTCATATAATGCTAGACAGAAGAATTCTCAGTAACTTCTTTTTGTGGTGTGTATTCAACTCACAGAGTTGAACCTTCCTTTAGACAGAGCAGATTTGAAACTCTCTTTTTGTGGAATTTGCAAGTGGAGATTTCAAGCGCTTTGAGGCCAACGGTAGAAAAGGAAATATCTTCGTAGAAAAAATAGACGGAATCATTCTCAGAAACTGCTTTGGGATGTGTGCATTGAACTCACAGTGTTTAACACTTCTTTTCATAGAGCACTTTGGAAACACTCAGTTTGTAATGTCTGCAGCTGGATATTTGGACCTCTTTGAGGCCTTCGTAGTAAACGGGATTTCTTCGTGTAATGATAGACAATAGAATTCTCAGTGAATTTTTTTCTGTGTGTGTGTATTCAACTCACAGGGTTGAACCTTCCTTTAGACAGTGCAGATTTGAGACACTTGTCTGTGGAATTTGCAAGGGGAGATTTCAAGCACTTTGAGGCCATTGGTGGAAAAGGAAATATCTTCGTATAAAAACTAGACAGAATCATTCTCAGGAACTACTTTGTGATATGTGCATTCAACTCACAGAGTTTAACCTTTCTTTTCATAGATGAGTTTGGAAACAGTCAGTTTGTAAATGCTGCAACTGGATATTTGGGCCTCTTTGAGGCTTTCGTTGGAAACGGGATTTCTTCACATAATGCTAGACAGAAGAATTCTCAGTAACTTCTTTTGGGATGTATGTATTCAAATCAGAGAGTTGAACCTTCCTTTAGACAGAGCGGATTGGAAACACTCTTTTTGTGGAATTTGCAAGTGGAAAATTCTAGCAGTATGAGGCCAATGGTACAAAAGGAAATATCTTCGTATAAAAACTAGACAGTATCATTCTCAGAAACTGCTTTGTGATGTGTGTATTAAAGTCACAGATTTGAACATTTCTTTGCATAGAGCAGTATGGAAAGACTTAGTTTGTGCAGTGTGCAAGTGGATATTTGGAACTCTTTGAGGCCTTGGTTGGAAACGGGATTTCTTCTTATAATTCTTGACAAAAGAATTCTCAGTAGCTTCCTTGTGTGTGTGTATTCAACTCACAGAGTTGAACCTGCCTTTAGGCAGAGCAGATTGGAAACCCTCTTTTTGTGGAATTTGCAAGTGGAGAATTCTAGCGCTTTGACGCCAATGGTAGGAAAGGAAATATCTCCGTATAAAAACTGGACAGTATCATTCTCAGAAGCTACTTTGTGATGTGTGCGTTCAACTCACAGAGTTTAACCTTTCTTTTCATAGAGCAGTTTGGAAACCCTCTGTTTGTGAAGTCTGCAAGTGGATATTTAAACGTCTTTGAGGCCTTCGTTGGAAACGGGATTTTTTCATATAAACCAGGACAGAAGAATTCTCAGAAACTTCTTGATTGTTATGTGTGCATTCAACTCACAGAGTTGAACCTTACTTTGGAAAGAGCAGTTTTCTAACACTCTTTTTGTAAAAGTTCCAAGTGAGTACTTTGAGTGCTTTGAAGCCTACGGTTGACAACGAAATATCTTCATGTAAAAACTACAAAGAATCATTCGCAGAAACCACGTTGTGATCTCTGCATTCAACTCACAGAGTTGAACCTTTCTTCCTATAGAGCAGTTATGAAACAGTCTCTTTGTAGAATTTGCAAGGGTGTATTTAGAGGGCATTGAAGCCTACGGTATAAAAGGAAATATCTTACCATAAAATCTAGTCAGAAGCATTCTCAGCAACTGAGTTGTGATGTTTGCATTCAACTCACAGAGTTCAACATTCCTTTTAATGGAGCGGTTTTGAAACACTCTTTTTGCAGAATCTGCAAGTGGATATTTGGACCTCTTTGAGGCCTTCGTTGGAAACGGGATTTCTTCATGTAATGCCAGACAGAAGAATTCTCAGTGAATTCTTTCTGTGTGTGTGTATTCAACTCACAGAGTTGAACGTTCCTTTAGACAGAGTAGATTGGAAACACTCTTTTTGTGGAATTTTCAGGTGGAGGTATCAAGCGCTTTGAGGCCAATGATAGAAAAGGAAATACCTTCGTATAATAATTAGACGGAATCATTCTCAGAAACCGCTTTGCAATGTGTGCGTTCAACTCACAGTGTTTAACCTTTCTTTTCATACAGTTGTTTCGAAACACTCTTTTTGCAGAATCTGCAAGTGGATATTTGGACCTCTTTGAAGTCTTCGTTGGAAATGGGATTTCTTCATATAATGCTAGACAGAAGACTTCTCAGTAACTGCTTTTTCTGGTGTGTATTCAACTCTCAGAGTTGAACTTTCCTTTAGAAACAGCAGATTTGAAACTCTCTTTTTGTGGAATTTGCAAGTGGAGATTTCAGAGCTTTGAGGCCAATGGTAGAAAAGGAAATATGCTTCGTATGCAAACTAGACAGAATCATTCTCAGAAACTACTTTGGTACGTGTGTGTTCAACTCACAGTGTTTAACCTTTCTTTTCATAGAGCAGTTTGGAAACACTCAGTTTGTAAAGTCAGCAACTGGATATTTGGATGTATTTGAGGCCTGCGTTGGAAACGGGATTTCTTCATATAATGCTAGACAGAAGAATTCTCAGTAACTTCTTTGGGTTGTGGGTATTCAAGTCACAGAGTTGAAGCTTCCTTTAGGCGGAGCAGATTGGAAACACTTTTTGTGGAATTTTCATGGGGAGACTTCAAGCGCTTTGAAGTGAATGGTAGGAAAGGAAATATCTTCGTGTAAAAACTAGACGGAGTCATTCTCAGAAACTACTTTGTGATGTTTGCGTTCAACTCACAGAGTTTAACGTTTCTTTTCATAGAGCAGTTTGGAAACACTCTTTTTGCAGAATCTGCAAGTGGATATTTGGACCTCTTTGTGGCCTTCGTTGGAAACGGGATTTTTCATATAATGCTAGACAGAAGAATTCTCAGTAACTTCTTTTTGTGGTGTGTATTCAACTCACAGAGTTGAACCTTCCTTTAGACAGAGCAGATTTGAAACTCTCTTTTTGTGGAATTTGCAAGTGGAGATTTCAAGCGCTTTGAGGCCAACGGTAGAAAAGGAAATATCTTCGTAGAAAAAATAGACGGAATCAGTCTCAGAAACTGCTTTGGGATGTGTGCATTGAACTCACAGTGTTTAACACTTCTTTTCATAGAGCACTTTGGAAACACTCAGTTTGTAATGTCTGCAGCTGGATATTTGGACCTCTTTGAGGCCTTCGTAGTAAACGGGATTTCTTCGTGTAATGATAGACAATAGAATTCTCAGTGAATTTTTTTCTGTGTGTGTGTATTCAACTCACAGGGTTGAACCTTCCTTTAGACAGTGCAGATTTGAGACACTTGTCTGTGGAATTTGCAAGGGGAGATTTCAAGCACTTTGAGGCCATTGGTGGAAAAGGAAATATCTTCGTATAAAAACTAGACAGAATCATTCTCAGGAACTACTTTGTGATATGTGCATTCAACTCACAGAGTTTAACCTTTCTTTTCATAGATGAGTTTGGAAACAGTCAGTTTGTAAATGCTGCAACTGGATATTTGGGCCTCTTTGAGGCTTTCGTTGGAAACGGGATTTCTTCACATAATGCTAGACAGAAGAATTCTCAGTAACTTCTTTTGGGATGTATGTATTCAAATCAGAGAGTTGAACCTTCCTTTAGACAGAGCGGATTGGAAACACTCTTTTTGTGGAATTTGCAAGTGGAAAATTCTAGCAGTATGAGGCCAATGGTACAAAAGGAAATATCTTCGTATAAAAACTAGACAGTTATCATTCTCAGAAACTGCTTTGTGATGTGTGTATTAAACTCACAGCAGTTGAACATTTCTTTGCATAGAGCAGTTTGGAAAGACTTAGTTTGTGCAGTGTGCAAGTGGATATTTGGAACTCTTTGAGGCCTTCGTTGGAAACGGGATTTCTTCTTATAATTCTTGACAAAAGAATTCTCAGTAGCTTCTTTGTGTGTGTGTATTCAACTCACAGAGTTGAACCTTCCTTTAGACAGAGCAGATTGGAAACACTCTTTTTGTGGAATTTGCAAGTGGAGAATTCTAGCGCTTTGACGCCAATGGTAGAAAGGAAATATCTTCGTATAAAAACTAGACAGTATCATTCTCAGAAGCTACTTTGTGATGTGTGCGTTCAACTCACAGAGTTTAACCTTTCTTTTCATAGAGCAGTTTGGAAACCCTCTGTTTGTGAAGTCTGCAAGTGGATATTTAAACGTCTTTGAGGCCTTCGTTGGAAACGGGATTTCTTCATATAAACCAGGACAGAAGAATTCTCAGAAACTTCTTGATTGTTATGGGTGCATTCAACTCACAGAGTTGAACCTTACTTTGGAAAGAGCGGTTTTCTAACACTCTTTTTGTAAAAGTTCCAAGTGAATACTTTGAGTGCTTTGAAGCCTACGGTTGACAACGAAATATCTTCATGTAAAAACTACAAAGAATCATTCGCAGAAACCACGTTGTGATCTCTGCATTCAACTCACAGAGTTGAACCTTTCTTCCTATAGAGCAGTTATGAAACAGTCTCTTTGTAGAATTTGCAAGGGTGTATTTAGAGGGCATTGAAGCCTACGGTAGAAAAGGAAATATCTTACCATAAAATCTAGTCAGAAGCATTCTCAGAAACTGAGTTGTGATGTTTGCATTCAACTCACAGAGTTCAACATTCCTTTTAATGGAGCGGTTTTGAAACACTCTTTTTGCAGAATCTGCAAGTGGATATTTGGACCTCTTTGAGGCCTTCGTTGGAAACGGGATTTCTTCATGTAATGCCAGACAGAAGAATTCTCAGTGAATTCTTTCTGTGTGTGTGTATTCAACTCACAGAGTTGAACGTTCCTTTAGACAGAGTAGATTGGAAACACTCTTTTTGTGGAATTTTCAGGTGGAGGTATCAAGCGCTTTGAGGCCAATGATAGAAAAGGAAATACCTTCGTATAATAATTAGACGGAATCATTCTCAGAAACCGCTTTGCAATGTGTGCGTTCAACTCACAGTGTTTAACCTTTCTTTTCATACAGTTGTTTCGAAACACTCTTTTTGCAGAATCTGCAAGTGGATATTTGGACCTCTTTGAAGTCTTCGTTGGAAATGGGATTTCTTCATATAATGCTAGACAGAAGACTTCTCAGTAACTGCTTTTTCTGGTGTGTATTCAACTCTCAGAGTTGAACTTTCCTTTAGAAACAGCAGATTTGAAACTCTCTTTTTGTGGAATTTGCAAGTGGAGATTTCAGAGCTTTGAGGCCAATGGTAGAAAAGGAAATATCTTCGTATGCAAACTAGACAGAATCATTCTCAGAAACTACTTTGGTACGTGTGTGTTCAACTCACAGTGTTTAACCTTTCTTTTCATAGAGCAGTTTGGAAACACTCAGTTTGTAAAGTCAGCAACTGGATATTTGGATGTATTTGAGGCCTTCGTTGGAAACGGGATTTCTTCATATAATGCTAGACAGAAGAATTCTCAGTAACTTCTTTGGGTTGTGGGTATTCAAGTCACAGAGTTGAAGCTTCCTTTAGGCGGAGCAGATTGGAAACACTTTTTGTGGAATTTTCAGGGGGAGACTTCAAGCGCTTTGAAGTGAATGGTAGGAAAGGAAATATCTTCGTATAAAAACTAGACGGAGTCATTCTCAGAAACTACTTTGTGATGTTTGCGTTCAACTCACAGAGTTTAACGTTTCTTTTCATAGAGCAGTTTGGAAACACTCTTTTTGCAGAATCTGCAAGTGGATATTTGGACCTCTTTGTGGCCTTCGTTGGAAACGGGATTTTTCATATAATGCTAGACAGAAGAATTCTCAGTAACTTCTTTTTGTGGTGTGTATTCAACTCACAGAGTTGAACCTTCCTTTAGACAGAGCAGATTTGAAACTCTCTTTTTGTGGAATTTGCAAGTGGAGATTTCAAGCGCTTTGAGGCCAACGGCAGAAAAGGAAATATCTTCGTAGAAAAAATAGACGGCATCATTCTCAGAAACTGCTTTGGGATGTGTGCATTGAACTCACAGTGTTTAACACTTCTTTTCATAGAGCACTTTGGAAACACTCAGGTTGTAATGTCTGCAGCTGGATATTTGGACCTCTTTGAGGCCTTCGTAGTAAACGGGATTTCTTCGTGTAATGATAGACAATAGAATTCTCAGTGAATTTTTTTCTGTGTGTGTGTATTCAACTCACAGGGTTGAACCTTCCTTTAGACAGTGCAGATTTGAGACACTTGTCTGTGGAATTTGCAAGGGGAGATTTCAAGCACTTTGAGGCCATTGGTGGAAAAGGAAATATCTTCGTATGAAAACTAGACAGAATCATTCTCAGGAACTACTTTGTGATATGTGCATTCAACTCCCAGAGTTTAACCTTTCTTTTCATAGATGAGTTTGGAAACAGTCAGTTTGTAAATTCTGCAACTGGATATTTGGACCGCTTTGAGGCTTTCGTTGGAAACGGGATTTCTTCACATAATGCTAGACAGAAGAATTCTCAGTAGCTTCTTTGTGTGTGTGTACTCAACTCACAGAGTTGAACCTTCCTTTAGACAGAGCGGATTGGAAACACTCTTTTTGTGGAATTTGCAAGTGGAAAATTCTAGCAGTATGAGGCCAGTGGTACAAAAGGAAATATCTTCGTATAAAAACTAGACAGTATCATTCTCAGAAACTACTTTGTGATGTGTGCGTTCAACTCACAGTGTTTACCCTTTCTTTTCATAGAGCAGTTTGGAAACACTCTGTTTGTGAAGTCTGCAAGTGGATATTTAAACGTCTTTGAGGCCTTCGTTGGAAACGGGATTTCTTCATATAAACCAGGACAGAAGAATTCTCAGAAACTTCTTGTTTGTTATGTGTGCATTCAACTCACAGAGTTGAACCTTACTTTGGAAAGAGCAGTTTTCTAACACTCTTTTTGTGAAAGTTCCAAGTGAATACTTTGAGTGCTTTGAAGCCTACGGTAGACAACGAAATATCTTCATGTAAAAACTACAAAGAATCATTCGCAGAAACCACGTTGTGATCTCTGCATTCAACTCACAGAGTTGAACCTTTCCTCCTATAGAGCAGTTATGAAGCAGTCTCTTTGTAGAATTTGCAAGGGTGTATTTAGAGGGCATTGAAGCCTACGGTAGAAAAGGAAATATCTTACCATAAAATCTAGTCAGAAGCATTCTCAGAAACTGAGTTGTGATGTTTGCATTCAACTCACAGAGTTCAACATTCCTTTTAATGGAGCGGTTTTGAAACACTCTTTTTGCAGAATCTGCAAGTGGATATTTGGACCTCTTTGAGGCCTTCGTTGGAAACGGGATTTCTTCATGTAATGCCAGACAGAAGAATTCTCAGTGAATTCTTTCTGTGTGTGTGTATTCAACTCACAGAGTTGAACGTTCCTTTAGACAGAGTAGATTGGAAACACTCTTTTTGTGGAATTTTCAGGTGGAGGTATCAAGCGCTTTGAGGCCAATGATAGAAAAGGAAATACCTTCGTATAATAATTAGACGGAATCATTCTCAGAAACCGCTTTGCAATGTGTGCGTTCAACTCACAGTGTTTAACCTTTCTTTTCATACAGTTGTTTCGAAACACTCTTTTTGCAGAATCTGCAAGTGGATATTTGGACCTCTTTGAAGTCTTCGTTGGAAATGGGATTTCTTCATATAATGCTAGACAGAAGACTTCTCAGTAACTGCTTTTTCTGGTGTGTATTCAACTCTCAGAGTTGAACTTTCCTTTAGAAACAGCAGATTTGAAACTCTCTTTTTGTGGAATTTGCAAGTGGAGATTTCAGAGCTTTGAGGCCAATGGTAGAAAAGGAAATATCTTCGTATGCAAACTAGACAGAATCATTCTCAGAAACTACTTTGGTACGTGTGTGTTCAACTCACAGTGTTTAACCTTTCTTTTCATAGAGCAGTTTGGAAACACTCAGTTTGTAAAGTCAGCAACTGGATATTTGGATGTATTTGAGGCCTTCGTTGGAAACGGGATTTCTTCATATAATGCTAGACAGAAGAATTCTCAGTAACTTCTTTGGGTTGTGGGTATTCAACTCACAGAGTTGAAGCTTCCTTTAGGCGGAGCAGATTGGAAACACTTTTTGTGGAATTTTCAGGTGGAGACTTCAAGCGCTTTGAAGTGAATGGTAGAAAAGGAAATATCTTCGTATAAAAACTAGACGGAGTCATTCTCAGAAACTACTTTGTGATGTTTGCGTTCAACTCACAGAGTTTAACGTTTCTTTTCATAGAGCAGTTTGGAAACACTCTTTTTGCAGAATCTGCAAGTGGATATTTGGACCTCTTTGTGGCCTTCGTTGGAAACGGGATTTTTCATATAATGCTAGACAGAAGAATTCTCAGTAACTTCTTTTTGTGGTGTGTATTCAACTCACAGAGTTGAACCTTCCTTTAGACAGAGCAGATTTGAAACTCTCTTTTTGTGGAATTTGCAAGTGGAGATTTCAAGCGCTTTGAGGCCAACGGCAGAAAAGGAAATATCTTCGTAGAAAAAATAGACGGAATCATTCTCAGAAACTGCTTTGGGATGTGTGCATTGAACTCACAGTGTTTAACACTTCTTTTCATAGAGCACTTTGGAAACACTCAGGTTGTAATGTCTGCAGCTGGATATTTGGACCTCTTTGAGGCCTTCGTAGTAAACGGGATTTCTTCGTGTCATGATAGACAATAGAATTCTCAGTGAATTTTTTTCTGTGTGTGTGTATTCAACTCACAGGGTTGAACCTTCCTTTAGACAGTGCAGATTTGAGACACTTGTCTGTGGAATTTGCAAGGGGAGATTTCAAGCACTTTGAGGCCATTGGTGGAAAAGGAAATATCTTCGTATAAAAACTAGACAGAATCATTCTCAGGAACTACTTTGTGATATGTGCATTCAACTCACAGAGTTTAACCTTTCTTTTCATAGATGAGTTTGGAAACAGTCAGTTTGTAAATGCTGCAACTGGATATTTGGGCCTCTTTGAGGCTTTCGTTGGAAACGGGATTTCTTCACATAATGCTAGACAGAAGAATTCTCAGTAACTTCTTTTGGGATGTATGTATTCAAATCAGAGAGTTGAACCTTCCTTTAGACAGAGCGGATTGGAAACACTCTTTTTGTGGAATTTGCAAGTGGAAAATTCTAGCAGTATGAGGCCAATGGTACAAAAGGAAATATCTTCGTATAAAAACTAGACAGTATCATTCTCAGAAACTGCTTTGTGATGTGTGTATTAAACTCACAGATTTGAACATTTCTTTGCATAGAGCAGTATGGAAAGACTTAGTTTGTGCAGTGTGCAAGTGGATATTTGGAACTCTTTGAGGGCCTTGGTTGGAAACGGGATTTCTTCTTATAATTCTTGACAAAAGAATTCTCAGTAGCTTCTTTGTGTGTGTGTGTACTCAACTCACAGAGTTGAACCTTCCTTTAGACAGAGCAGATTGGAAACACTCTTTTTGTGGAATTTGCAAGTGGAAAATTCTAGCAGTATGAGGCCAATGGTACAAAAGGAAATATCTTCGTATAAAAACTAGACAGTATCATTCTCAGAAACTGCTTTGTGATGTGTGTATTAAACTCACAGAGTTGAACATTTCTTTGCATAGAGCAGTTTGGAAAGACTTAGTTTGTGCAGTGTGCAAGTGGATATTTGGAACTCTTTGAGGCCTTCGTTGGAAACGGGATTTCTTCTTATAATTCTTGACAAAAGAATTCTCAGTAGCTTCTTTGTGTGTGTGTATTCAACTCACAGAGTTGAACCTTCCTTTAGACAGAGCAGATTGGAAACACTCTTTTTGTGGAATTTGCAAGTGGAGAATTCTAGCGCTTTGACGCCAATGGTAGAAAGGAAATATCTTCGTATAAAAACTAGACAGTATCATTCTCAGAAGCTACTTTGTGATGTGTGCGTTCAACTCACAGAGTTTAACCTTTCTTTTCATAGAGCAGTTTGGAAACCCTCTGTTTGTGAAGTCTGCAAGTGGATATTTAAACGTCTTTGAGGCCTTCGTTGGAAACGGGATTTTTTCATATAAACCAGGACAGAAGAATTCTCAGAAACTTCTTGATTGTTATGTGTGCATTCAACTCACAGAGTTGAACCTTACTTTGGAAAGAGCAGTTTCCTAACACTCGTTTTGTAAAAGTTCCAAGTGAATACTTTGAGTGCTTTGAAGCCTACGGTTGACAACGAAATATCTTCATGTAAAAACTACAAAGAATCATTCGCAGAAACCACGTTGTGATCTCTGCATTCAACTCACAGAGTTCAACCTTTCTTCCTATAGAGCAGTTATGAAACAGTCTCTTTGTAGAATTTGCAAGGGTGTATTTAGAGGGCATTGAAGCCTACGGTAGAAAAGGAAATATCTTACCATAAAATCTAGTCAGAAGCATTCTCAGCAACTGAGTTGTGATGTTTGCATTCAACTCACAGAGTTCAACATTCCTTTTAATGGAGCGGTTTTGAAACACTCTTTTTGCAGAATCTGCAAGTGGATATTTGGACCTCTTTGAGGCCTTCGTTGGAAACGGGATTTCTTCATGTAATGCCAGACAGAAGAATTCTCAGTGAATTCTTTCTGTGTGTGTGTATTCAACTCACAGAGTTGAACGTTCCTTTAGACAGAGTAGATTGGAAACACTCTTTTTGTGGAATTTTCAGGTGGAGGTATCAAGCGCTTTGAGGCCAATGATAGAAAAGGAAATACCTTCGTATAATAATTAGACGGAATCGTTCTCAGAAACTGCTTTGCAATGTGTGCGTTCAACTCACAGTGTTTAACCTTTCTTTTCATACAGTTGTTTCGAAACACTCTTTTTGCAGAATCTGCAAGTGGATATTTGGACCTCTTTGAAGTCTTCGTTGGAAATGGGATTTCTTCATATAATGCTAGACAGAAGACTTCTCAGTAACTGCTTTTTCTGGTGTGTATTCAACTCTCAGAGTTGAACTTTCCTTTAGAAACAGCAGATTTGAAACTCTCTTTTTGTGGAATTTGCAAGTGGAGATTTCAGAGCTTTGAGGCCAATGGTAGAAAAGGAAATATCTTCGTATGCAAACTAGACAGAATCATTCTCAGAAACTACTTTGGTACGTGTGTGTTCAACTCACAGTGTTTAACCTTTCTTTTCATAGAGCAGTTTGGAAACACTCAGTTTGTAAAGTCAGCAACTGGATATTTGGATGTATTTGAGGCCTTCGTTGGAAACGGGATTTCTTCATATAATGCTAGACAGAAGAATTCTCAGTAACTTCTTTGGGTTGTGGGTATTCAAGTCACAGAGTTGAAGCTTCCTTTAGGCGGAGCAGATTGGAAACACTTTTTGTGGAATTTTCAGGGGGAGACTTCAAGCGCTTTGAAGTGAATGGTAGGAAAGGAAATATCTTCGTATAAAAACTAGACGGAGTCATTCTCAGAAACTACTTTGTGATGTTTGCGTTCAACTCACAGAGTTTAACGTTTCTTTTCATAGAGCAGTTTGGAAACACTCTTTTTGCAGAATCTGCAAGTGGATATTTGGACCTCTTTGTGGCCTTCGTTGGAAACGGGATTTTTCATATAATGCTAGACAGAAGAATTCTCAGTAACTTCTTTTTGTGGTGTGTATTCAACTCACAGAGTTGAACCTTCCTTTAGACAGAGCAGATTTGAAACTCTCTTTTTGTGGAATTTGCAAGTGGAGATTTCAAGCGCTTTGAGGCCAACGGCAGAAAAGGAAATATCTTCGTAGAAAAAATAGACGGCATCATTCTCAGAAACTGCTTTGGGATGTGTGCATTGAACTCACAGTGTTTAACACTTCTTTTCATAGAGCACTTTGGAAACACTCAGTTTGTAATGTCTGCAGCTGGATATTTGGACCTCTTTGAGGCCTTCGTAGTAAACGGGATTTCTTCGTGTAATGATAGACAATAGAATTCTCAGTGAATTTTTTTCTGTGTGTGTGTATTCAACTCACAGGGTTGAACCTTCCTTTAGACAGTGTAGATTTGAAACACTTGTCTGTGGAATTTGCAAGGGGAGATTTCAAGCACTTTGAGGCCATTGGTGGAAAAGGAAATATCTTCGTATAAAAACTAGACAGAATCATTCTCAGGAACTACTTTGTGATATGTGCATTCAACTCCCAGAGTTTAACCTTTCTTTTCATAGATGAGTTTGGAAACAGTCAGTTTGTAAATTCTGCAACTGGATATTTGGACCTCTTTGAGGCTTTCGTTGGAAACGGGATTTCTTCACATAATGCTAGACAGAAGAATTCTCAGTAACTTCTTTTGGGATGTATGTATTCAAATCAGAGAGTTGAACCTTCCTTTAGACAGAGCGGATTGGAAACACTCTTTTTGTGGAATTTGCAAGTGGAAAATTCTAGCAGTATGAGGCCAATGGTACAAAAGGAAATATTCTTCGTATAAAAACTAGACAGTATCATTCTCAGAAACTGCTTTGTGATGTGTGTATTAAACTCACAGAGTTGAACATTTCTTTGCATAGAGCAGTTTGGAAAGACTTAGTTTGTGCAGTGTGCAAGTGGATATTTGGAACTCTTTGAGGCCTTCGTTGGAAACGGGATTTCTTCTTATAATTCTTGACAAAAGAATTCTCAGTAGCTTCTTTGTGTGTGTGTATTCAACTCACAGAGTTGAACCTTCCTTTAGACAGAGCAGATTGGAAACACTCTTTTTGTGGAATTTGCAAGTGGAGAATTCTAGCGCTTTGACGCCAATGGTAGAAAGGAAATATCTTCGTATAAAAACTAGACAGTATCATTCTCAGAAGCTACTTTGTGATGTGTGCGTTCAACTCACAGAGTTTAACCTTTCTTTTCATAGAGCAGTTTGGAAACCCTCTGTTTGTGAAGTCTGCAAGTGGATATTTAAACGTCTTTGAGGCCTTCGTTGGAAACGGGATTTGTTCCTATAAACCAGGACAGAAGAATTCTCAGAAACTTCTTGATTGTTATGTGTGCATTCAACTCACAGAGTTGAACCTTACTTTGGAAAGAGCAGTTTTCTAACACTCTTTTTGTAAAAGTTCCAAGTGAATACTTTGAGTGCTTTGAAGCCTACGGTTGACAACGAAATATCTTCATGTAAAAACTACAAAGAATCATTCGCAGAAACCACGTTGTGATCTCTGCATTCAACTCACAGAGTTGAACCTTTCTTCCTATAGAGCAGTTGTGAAACAGTCTCTTTGTAGAATTTGCAAGGGTGTATTTAGAGGGCATTGAAGCCTACGGTAGAAAAGGAAATATCTTACCATAAAATCTAGTCAGAAGCATTCTCAGCAACTGAGTTGTGATGTTTGCATTCAACTCACAGAGTTCAACATTCCTTTTAATGGAGCGGTTTTGAAACACTCTTTTTGCAGAATCTGCAAGTGGATATTTGGACCTCTTTGAGGCCTTCGTTGGAAACGGGATTTCTTCATGTAATGCCAGACAGAAGAATTCTCAGTGAATTCTTTCTGTGTGTGTGTATTCAACTCACAGAGTTGAACGTTCCTTTAGACAGAGTAGATTGGAAACACTCTTTTTGTGGAATTTTCAGGTGGAGGTATCAAGCGCTTTGAGGCCAATGATAGAAAAGGAAATACCTTCGTATAATAATTAGACGGAATCATTCTCAGAAACTGCTTTGCAATGTGTGCGTTCAACTCACAGTGTTTAACCTTTCTTTTCATACAGTTGTTTCGAAACACTCTTTTTGCAGAATCTGCAAGTGGATATTTGGACCTCTTTGAAGTCTTCGTTGGAAATGGGATTTCTTCATATAATGCTAGACAGAAGACTTCTCAGTAACTGCTTTTTCTGGTGTGTATTCAACTCTCAGAGTTGAACTTTCCTTTAGAAACAGCAGATTTGAAACTCTCTTTTTGTGGAATTTGCAAGTGGAGATTTCAGAGCTTTGAGGCCAATGGTAGAAAAGGAAATATCTTCGTATGCAAACTAGACAGAATCATTCTCAGAAACTACTTTGGTACGTGTGTGTTCAACTCACAGTGTTCAACCTTTCCTTTCATAGAGCAATTTGGAAACACTCAGTTTGTAAAGTCAGCAACTGGATATCTGGATGTATTTGAGGCCTTCGTTGGAAACGGGATTTCTTCATATAATGCTAGACAGAAGAATTCTCAGTAACTTCTTTGGGTTGTGGGTATTCAAGTCACAGAGTTGAAGCTTCCTTTAGGCGGAGCAGATTGGAAACACTTTTTGTGGAATTTTCAGGGGGAGACTTCAAGCGCTTTGAAGTGAATGGTAGGAAAGGAAATATCTTCGTATAAAAACTAGACGGAGTCATTCTCAGAAACTACTTTGTGATGTTTGCGTTCAACTCACAGAGTTTAACGTTTCTTTTCATAGAGCAGTTTGGAAACACTCTTTTTGCAGAATCTGCAAGTGGATATTTGGACCTCTTTGTGGCCTTCGTTGGAAACGGGATTTTTCATATAATGCTAGACAGAAGAATTCTCAGTAACTTCTTTTTGTGGGGTGTATTCAACTCACAGAGTTGAACCTTCCTTTAGACAGAGCAGATTTGAAACTCTCTTTTTGTGGAATTTGCAAGTGGAGATTTCAAGCGCTTTGAGGCCAACGGCAGAAAAGGAAATATCTTCGTAGAAAAAATAGACGGCATCATTCTCAGTAAACTGCTTTGGGATGTGTGCATTGAACTCACAGTGTTTAACACTTCTTTTCATAGAGCACTTTGGAAACACTCAGTTTGTAATGTCTGCAGCTGGATATTTGGACCTCTTTGAGGCCTTCGTGGTAAACGGGATTTCTTCGTGTAATGATAGACAATAGAATTCTCAGTGAATTTTTTTCTGTGTGTGTGTATTCAACTCACAGGGTTGAACCTTCCTTTAGACAGTGCAGATTTGAAACACTTGTCTGTGGAATTTGCAAGGGGAGATTTCAAGCACTTTGAGGCCATTGGTGGAAAAGGAAATATCTTCGTATGAAAACTAGACAGAATCATTCTCAGGAACTACTTTGTGATATGTGCATTCAACTCACAGAGTTTAACCTTTCTTTTCATAGATGAGTTTGGAAACAGTCAGTTTGTAAATTCTGCAACTGGATATTTGGACCTCTTTGAGGCTTTCGTTGGAAACGGGATTTCTTCACATAATGCTAGACAGAAGAATTCTCAGTAAATTCTTTTGGGATGTATGTATTCAAATCAGAGAGTTGAACCTTCCTTTAGACAGAGCGGATTGGAAACACTCTTTTTGTGGAATTTGCAAGTGGAAAATTCTAGCAGTATGAGGCCAATGGTACAAAAGGAAATATCTTCGTATAAAAACTAGACAGTATCATTCTCAGAAACTGCTTTGTGATGTGTGTATTAAACTCACAGAGTTGAACATTTCTTTGCATAGAGCAGTTTGGAAAGACTTAGTTTGTGCAGTGTGCAAGTGGATATTTGGAACTCTTTGAGGCCTTCGTTGGAAACGGGATTTCTTCTTATAATTCTTGACAAAAGAATTCTCAGTAGCTTCTTTGTGTGTGTGTATTCAACTCACAGAGTTGAACCTTCCTTTAGACAGAGCAGATTGGAAACACTCTTTTTGTGGAATTTGCAAGTGGAGAATTCTAGCGCTTTGACACCAATGGTAGAAAGGAAATATCTTCGTATAAAAACTAGACAGTATCATTCTCAGAAGCTACTTTGTGATGTGTGCGTTCAACTCACAGAGTTTAACCTTTCTTTTCATAGAGCAGTTTGGAAACACTCTGTTTGTGAAGTCTGCAAGTGGATATTTAAACGTGCTTTGAGGCCTTCGTTGGAAACGGGATTTTTTCATATAAACCAGGACAGAAGAATTCTCAGAAACTTCTTGATTGTTATGTGTGCATTCAACTCACAGAGTTGAACCTTACTTTGGAAAGAGCAGTTTTCTAATACTCTTTTTGTAAAAGTTCCAAGTGAATACTTTGAGTGCTTTGAAGCCTACGGTTGACAACGAAATATCTTCATGTAAAAACTACAAAGAATCATTCGCAGAAACCACGTTGTGATCTCTGCATTCAACTCACAGAGTTCAACCTTTCTTCCTATAGAGCAGTTATGAAACAGTCTCTTTCTAGAATTTGCAAGGGTGTATTTAGAGGGCATTGAAGCCTACGGTAGAAAAGGAAATATCTTACCATAAAATCTAGTCAGAAGCATTCTCAGCAACTGAGTTGTGATGTTTGCATTCAACTCACAGAGTTCAACATTCCTTTTAATGGAGCGGTTTTGAAACACTCTTTTTGCAGAATCTGCAAGTGGATATTTGGACCTCTTTGAGGCCTTCGTTGGAAACGGGATTTCTTCATGTAATGCCAGACAGAAGAATTCTCAGTGAATTCTTTCTGTGTGTGTGTATTCAACTCACAGAGTTGAACGTTCCTTTAGACAGAGTAGATTGGAAACACTCTTTTTGTGGAATTTTCAGGTGGAGGTATCAAGCGCTTTGAGGCCAATGATAGAAAAGGAAATACCTTCGTATAATAATTAGACGGAATCATTCTCAGAAACTGCTTTGCAATGTGTGCGTTCAACTCACAGTGTTTAACCTTTCTTTTCATACAGTTGTTTCGAAACACTCTTTTTGCAGAATCTGCAAGTGGATATTTGGACCTCTTTGAAGTCTTCGTTGGAAATGGGATTTCTTCATATAATGCTAGACAGAAGACTTCTCAGTAACTGCTTTTTCTGGTGTGTATTCAACTCTCAGAGTTGAACTTTCCTTTAGAAACAGCAGATTTGAAACTCTCTTTTTGTGGAATTTGCAAGTGGAGATTTCAGAGCTTTGAGGCCAATGGTAGAAAAGGAAATATCTTCGTATGCAAACTAGACAGAATCATTCTCAGAAACTACTTTGGTACGTGTGTGTTCAACTCACAGTGTTTAACCTTTCTTTTCATAGAGCAGTTTGGAAACACTCAGTTTGTAAAGTCAGCAACTGGATATTTGGATGTATTTGAGGCCTTCGTTGGAAACGGGATTTCTTCATATAATGCTAGACAGAAGAATTCTCAGTAACTTCTTTGGGTTGTGGGTATTCAAGTCACAGAGTTGAAGCTTCCTTTAGGCGGAGCAGATTGGAAACACTTTTTGTGGAATTTTCAGGGGGAGACTTCAAGCGCTTTGAAGTGAATGGTAGGAAAGGAAATATCTTCGTATAAAAACTAGACGGAGTCATTCTCAGAAACTACTTTGTGATGTTTGCGTTCAACTCACAGAGTTTAACGTTTCTTTCCATAGAGCAGTTTGGAAACACTCTTTTTGCAGAATCTGCAAGTGGATATTTGGACCTCTTTGTGGCCTTCGTTGGAAACGGGATTTTTCATATAATGCTAGACAGAAGAATTCTCAGTAACTTCTTTTTGTGGTGTGTATTCAACTCACAGAGTTGAACCTTCCTTTAGACAGAGCAGATTTGAAACTCTCTTTTTGTGGAATTTGCAAGTGGAGATTTCAAGCGCTTTGAGGCCAACGGCAGAAAAGGAAATATCTTTGTAGAAAAAATAGACGGCATCATTCTCAGAAACTGCTTTGGGATGTGTGCATTGAACTCACAGTGTTTAACACTTCTTTTCATAGAGCACTTTGGAAACACTCAGTTTGTAATGTCTGCAGCTGGATATTTGGACCTCTTTGAGGCCTTCGTAGTAAACGGGATTTCTTCGTGTAATGATAGACAATAGAATTCTCAGTGAATTTTTTTCTGTGTGTGTGTATTCAACTCACAGGGTTGAACCTTCCTTTAGACAGTGCAGATTTGAAACACTTGTCTGTGGAATTTGCAAGGGGAGATTTCAAGCACTTTGAGGCCATTGGTGGAAAAGGAAATATCTTCGTATGAAAACTAGACAGAATCATTCTCAGGAACTACTTTGTGATATGTGCATTCAACTCCCAGAGTTCAACCTTTCTTTTCATAGATGAGTTTGGAAACAGTCAGTTTGTAAATTCTGCAACTGGATATTTGGACCTCTTTGAGGCTTTCGTTGGAAACGGGATTTCTTCACATAATGCTAGACAGAAGAATTCTCAGTAACTTCTTTTGGGATGTATGTATTCAAATCAGAGAGTTGAACCTTCCTTTAGACAGAGCGGATTGGAAACCCTCTTTTTGTGGAATTTGCAAGTGGAAAATTCTAGCAGTATGAGGCCAATGGTACAAAAGGAAATATCTTCGTATAAAAACTAGACAGTATCATTCTCAGAAACTGCTTTGTGATGTGTGTATTAAACTCACAGAGTTGAACATTTCTTTGCATAGAGCAGTTTGGAAAGACTTAGTTTGTGCAGTGTGCAAGTGGATATTTGGAACTCTTTGAGGCCTTCGTTGGAAACGGGATTTCTTCTTATAATTTCTTGAAAAAAGAATTCTCAGTAGCTTCTTTGTGTGTGTGTATTCAACTCACAGAGTTGAACCTTCCTTTAGACAGAGCAGATTGGAAACACTCTTTTTGTGGAATTTGCAAGTGGAGAATTCTAGCGCTTTGACGCCAATGGTAGAAAGGAAATATACTTCGTATAAAAACTAGACAGTATCATTCTCAGTAAGCTACTTTGTGATGTGTGCGTTCAACTCACAGAGTTTAACCTTTCTTTTCATAGAGCAGTTTGGAAACCCTCTGTTTGTGAAGTCTGCAAGTGGATATTTAAACGTCTTTGAGGCCTTCGTTGGAAACGGGATTTCTTCATATAAACCAGGACAGAAGAACTCTCAGAAACTTCTTGTTTGTTATGTGTGCATTCAACTCACAGAGTTGAACCTTACTTTGGAAAGAGCAGTTTTCTAACACTCTTTTTGTAAAAGTTCCAAGTGAATACTTTGAGTGCTTTGAAGCCTTACGGTAGACAACGAAATATCTTCATGTAAAAACTACAAAGAATCATTCGCAGAAACCACGTTGTGATCTCTGCATTCAACTCACAGAGTTGAACCTTTCCTCCTATAGAGCAGTTATGAAGCAGTCTCTTTGTAGAATTTGCAAGGGTGTATTTACAGGGCATTGAAGCCTACGGTAGAAAAGGAAATATCTTACCATAAAATCTAGTCAGAAGCATTCTCAGAAACTGAGTTGTGATGTTTGCATTCAACTCACAGAGTTCAACATTCCTTTTAATGGAGCGGTTTTGAAACACTCTTTTTGCAGAATCTGCAAGTGGATATTTGGACCTCTTTGAGGCCTTCGTTGGAAACGGGATTTCTTCATGTAATGCCAGACAGAAGAATTCTCAGTGAATTCTTTCTGTGTGTGTGTATTCAACTCACAGAGTTGAACGTTCCTTTAGACAGAGTAGATTGGAAACACTCTTTTTGTGGAATTTTCAGGTGGAGGTATCAAGCGCTTTGAGGCCAATGATAGAAAAGGAAATACCTTCGTATAATAATTAGACGGAATCATTCTCAGAAACTGCTTTGCAATGTGTGCGTTCAACTCACAGTGTTTAACCTTTCTTTTCATACAGTTGTTTCGAAACACTCTTTTTGCAGAATCTGCAAGTGGATATTTGGACCTCTTTGAAGTCTTCGTTGGAAATGGGATTTCTTCATATAATGCTAGACAGAAGACTTCTCAGTAACTGCTTTTTCTGGTGTGTATTCAACTCTCAGAGTTGAACTTTCCTTTAGAAACAGCAGATTTGAAACTCTCTTTTTGTGGAATTTGCAAGTGGAGATTTCAGAGCTTTGAGGCCAATGGTAGAAAAGGAAATATCTTCGTATGCAAACTAGACAGAATCATTCTCAGAAACTACTTTGGTACGTGTGTGTTCAACTCACCGTGTTTAACCTTTCTTTTCATAGAGCAGTTTGGAAACACTCAGTTTGTAAAGTCAGCAACTGGATATTTGGATGTATTTGAGGCCTTCGTTGGAAACGGGATTTCTTCATATAATGCTAGACAGAAGAATTCTCAGTAACTTCTTTGGGTTGTGGGTATTCAACTCACAGAGTTGAAGCTTCCTTTAGGCGGAGCAGATTGGAAACACTTTTTGTGGAATTTTCAGGGGGAGACTTCAAGCGCTTTGAAGTGAATGGTAGGAAAGGAAATATCTTCGTATAAAAACTAGACGGAGTCATTCTCAGAAACTACTTTGTGATGTTTGCGTTCAACTCACAGAGTTTAACGTTTCTTTTCATAGAGCAGTTTGGAAACACTCTTTTTGCAGAATCTGCAAGTGGATATTTGGACCTCTTTGTGGCCTTCGTTGGAAACGGGATTTTTCATATAATGCTAGACAGAAGAATTCTCAGTAACTTCTTTTTGTGGTGTGTATTCAACTCACAGAGTTGAACCTTCCTTTAGACAGAGCAGATTTGAAACTCTCTTTTTGTGGAATTTGCAAGTGGAGATTTCAAGCGCTTTGAGGCCAACGGCAGAAAAGGAAATATCTTCGTAGAAAAAATAGACGGAATCATTCTCAGAAACTGCTTTGGGATGTGTGCATTGAACTCACAGTGTTTAACACTTCTTTTCATAGAGCACTTTGGAAACACTCAGTTTGTAATGTCTGCAGCTGGATATTTGGACCTCTTTGAGGCCTTCGTAGTAAACGGGATTTCTTCGTGTAATGATAGACAATAGAATTCTCAGTGAATTTTTTTCTGTGTGTGTGTATTCAACTCACAGGGTTGAACCTTCCTTTAGACAGTGCAGATTTGAAACACTTGTCTGTGGAATTTGCAAGGGGAGATTTCAAGCACTTTGAGGCCATTGGTGGAAAAGGAAATATCTTCGTATAAAAACTAGACAGAATCATTCTCAGGAACTACTTTGTGATATGTGCATTCAACTCACAGAGTTTAACCTTTCTTTTCATAGATGAGTTTGGAAACAGTCAGTTTGTAAATTCTGCAACTGGATATTTGGACCTCTTGGAGGCTTTCGATGGAAACGGGATTTCTTCACATAATGCTAGACAGAAGAATTCTCAGTAACTTTTTTGGGATGTATGTATTCAAATCAGAGAGTTGAACCTTCCTTTAGACAGAGCGGATTGGAAACACTCTTTTTGTGGAATTTGCAAGTGGAAAATTCTAGCAGTATGAGGCCAATGGTACAAAAGGAAATATCTTCGTATAAAAACTAGACAGTATCATTCTCAGAAACTGCTTTGTGATGTGTGTATTAAACTCACAGAGTTGAACATTTCTTTGCATAGAGCAGTTTGGAAAGACTTAGTTTGTGCAGTGTGCAAGTGGATATTTGGAACTCTTTGAGGCCTTCGTTGGAAACGGGATTTCTTCTTATAATTCTTGACAAAAGAATTCTCAGTAGCTTCTTTGTGTGTGTGTATTCAACTCACAGAGTTGAACCTTCCTTTAGACAGAGCAGATTGGAAACACTCTTTTTGTGGAATTTGCAAGTGGAGAATTCTAGCGCTTTGACGCCAATGGTAGAAAGGAAATATCTTCGTATAAAAACTAGACAGTATCATTCTCAGAAGCTACTTTGTGATGTGTGCGTTCAACTCACAGAGTTTAACCTTTCTTTTCATAGAGCAGTTTGGAAACCCTCTGTTTGTGAAGTCTGCAAGTGGATATTTAAACGTCTTTGAGGCCTTCGTTGGAAACGGGATTTTTTCATATAAACCAGGACAGAAGAATTCTCAGAAACTTCTTGATTGTTATGTGTGCATTCAACTCACAGAGTTGAACCTTACTTTGGAAAGAGCAGTTTTCTAACACTCTTTTTGTAAAAGTTCCAAGTGAATACTTTGAGTGCTTTGAAGCCTACGGTTGACAACGAAATATCTTCATGTAAAAACTACAAAGAATCATTCGCCGAAACCACGTTGTGATCTCTGCATTCAACTCACAGAGTTCAACGTTTCTTCCTATAGAGCAGTTATTAAACAGTCTCTTTGTAGAATTTGCAAGGGTGTATTTAGAGGGCATTGAAGCCTACGGTAGAAAAGGAAATATCTGACCATAAAATCTAGTCAGAAGCATTCTCAGAAACTGAGTTGTGATGTTTGCATTCAACTCACAGAGTTCAACATTCCTTTTCATGGAGCGGTTTTGAAACACTCTTTTTGCAGAATCTGCAAGTGGATATTTGGACCTCTTTGAGGCCTTCGTTGAAAACGGGATTTCTTCATGTAATGCCAGACAGAAGAATTCTCAGTGAATTCTTTCTGTGTGTGTGTATTCAACTCACAGAGTTGAACGTTCCTTTAGACAGAGTAGATTGGAAACACTCTTTTTGTGGAATTTTCAGGTGGAGGTATCAAGCGCTTTGAGGCCAATGATAGAAAAGGAAATACCTTCGTATAATAATTAGACGGAATCATTCTCAGAAACTGCTTTGCAATGTGTGCGTTCAACTCACAGTGTTTAACCTTTCTTTTCATACAGTTGTCTCGAAACACTCTTTTTGCAGAATCTGCAAGTGGATATTTGGACCTCTTTGAAGTCTTCGTTGGAAATGGGATTTCTTCATATAATGCTAGACAGAAGACTTCTCAGTAACTGCTTTTTCTGGTGTGTATTCAACTCTCAGAGTTGAACTTTCCTTTAGAAACAGCAGAGTTGAAACTCTCTTTTTGTGGAATTTGCAAGTGGAGATTTCAAAGCTTTGAGGCCAATGGTAGAAAAGGAAATATCTTCGTATGCAAACTAGACAGAATCATTCTCAGAAACTACTTTGGTACGTGTGTGTTCAACTCACAGTGTTTAACCTTTCTTTTCATAGAGCAGTTTGGAAACACCCAGTTTGTAAAGTCAGCAACTGGATATTTGGATGTATTTGAGGCCTTCGTTGGAAACGGGATTTCTTCATATAGTGCTAGACAGAAGAATTCTCAGTAACTTCTTTGGGTTGTGGGTATTCAACTCACAGAGTTGAAGCTTCCTTTAGGCGGAGCAGATTGGAAACACTTTTTCTGGAATTTTCAGGGGGAGACTTCAAGCGCTTTGAAGTGAATGGTAGAAAAGGAAATATCTTCGTATAAAAACTAGACGGAGTCATTCTCAGAAACTACTTTGTGATGTTTGCGTTCAACTCACAGAGTTTAACGTTTCTTTTCATAGAGCAGTTTGGAAACACTCTTTTTGCAGAATCTGCAAGTGGATATTTGGACCTCTTTGTGGCCTTCGTTGGAAACGGGATTTTTCATATAATGCTAGACAGAAGAATTCTCAGTAACTTCTTTTTGTGGTGTGTATTCAACTCACAGAGTTGAACCTTCCTTTAGACAGAGCAGATTTGAAACTCTCTTTTTGTGGAATTTGCAAGTGGAGATTTCAAGCGCTTTGAGGCCAACGGTAGAAAAGGAAATATCTTCGTAGAAAAAATAGACGGAATCATTCTCAGAAACTGCTTTGGGATGTGTGCATTGAACTCACAGTGTTTAACACTTCTTTTCATAGAGCACTTTGGAAACACTCAGTTTGTAATGTCTGCAGCTGGATATTTGGACCTCTTTGAGGCCTTCGTAGTAAACGGGATTTCTTCGTGTAATGATAGACAATAGAATTCTCAGTGAATTTTTTTCTGTGTGTGTGTATTCAACTCACAGGGTTGAACCTTCCTTTAGACAGTGCAGATTTGAAACACTTGTCTGTGGAATTTGCAAGGGGAGATTTCAAGCACTTTGAGGCCATTGGTGGAAAAGGAAATATCTTCATATAAAAACTAGACAGAGTCATTGTCAGGAACTACTTTGTGATATGTGCATTCAACTCACAGAGTTTAACCTTTCTTTTCATAGATGAGTTTGGAAACAGTCAGTTTGTAAATTCTGCAACTGGATATTTGGACCTCTTTGAGGCTTTCGTTGGAAACGGGATTTCTTCACATAATGCTAGACAGAAGAATTCTCAGTAACTTCTTTTGGGATGTATGTATTCAACTCAGAGAGTTGAACCTTCCTTTAGACAGAGCGGATTGGAAACACGCTTTTTGCGGAATTTTCAGGTAGAGATTCCAAGAGCCTTGAGGCCAATGGTAGAAAAGGCTATCTTCGTATAAAAACTAGAGGGAATCATTCTCAGAAACTGCTTTGTGATGTGTGTATTAAACTCACAGAGTTGAACATTTCTTTGCATAGAGCAGTTTGGAAAGACTTAGTTTGTGCAGTGTGCAAGTGGATATTTGGAACTCTTTGAGGCCTTCGTTGGAAACGGGATTTCTTCTTATAATTCTTGACAAAAGAATTCTCAGTAGCTTCTTTGTGTGTGTGTATTCAACTCACAGAGTTGAACCTTCCTTGAGACAGAGCAGATTGGAAACACTCTTTTTGTGGAATTTGCAAGTGGAGAATTCTAGCGCTTTGACGCCAATGGTAGAAAGGAAATATCTTCGTATAAAAACTAGACAGTATCATTCTCAGAAGCTACTTTGTGATGTGTGCGTTCAACTCACAGAGTTTAACCTTTCTTTTCATAGAGCAGTTTGGAAACCCTCTGTTTGTGAAGTCTGCAAGTGGATATTTAAACGTCTTTGAGGCCTTCGTTGGAAACGGGATTTTTTCATATAAACCAGGACAGAAGAATTCTCAGAAACGTCTTGATTGTTATGTGTGCATTCAACTCACAGAGTTGAACCTTACTTTGGAAAGAGCAGTTTTCTAACACTCTTTTTGTAAAAGTTCCAAGTGAATACTTTGAGTGCTTTGAAGCCTACGGTTGACAACGAAATATCTTCATGTAAAAACTACAAAGAATCATTCGCAGAAACCACGTTGTGATCTCTGCATTCAACTCACAGAGTTCAACCTTTCTTCCTATAGAGCAGTTATGAAACAGTCTCTTTGTAGAATTTGCAAGGGTGTATTTAGAGGGCATTGAAGCCTACGGTAGAAAAGGAAATATCTTACCATAAAATCTAGTCAGAAGCATTCTCAGAAACTGAGTTGTGATGTTTGCATTCAACTCACAGAGTTCAACATTCCTTTTCATGGAGCGGTTTTGAAACACTCTTTTTGCAGAATCTGCAAGTGGATATTTGGACCTCTTTGAGGCCTTCGTTGAAAACGGGATTTCTTCATGTAATGCCAGACAGAAGAATTCTCAGTGAATTCTTTCTGTGTGTGTGTATTCAACTCACAGAGTTGAACGTTCCTTTAGACAGAGTAGATTGGAAACACTCTTTTTGTGGAATTTTCAGGTGGAGGTATCAAGCGCTTTGAGGCCAATGATAGAAAAGGAAATACCTTCGTATAATAATTAGACGGAATCATTCTCAGAAACTGCTTTGCAATGTGTGCGTTCAACTCACAGTGTTTAACCTTTCTTTTCATACAATTGTTTCGAAACACTCTTTTTGCAGAATCTGCAAGTGGATATTTGGACCTCTTTGAAGTCTTCGTTGGAAATGGGATTTCTTCATATAATGCTAGACAGAAGACTTCTCAGTAACTGCTTTTTCTGGTGTGTATTCAACTCTCAGAGTTGAACTTTCCTTTAGAAACAGCAGATTTGAAACTCTCTTTTTGTGGAATTTGCAAGTGGAGATTTCAGAGCTTTGAGGCCAATGGTAGAAAAGGAAATATCTTCGTATGCAAACTAGACAGAATCATTCTCAGAAACTACTTTGGTACGTGTGTGTTCAACTCACAGTGTTTAACCTTTCTTTTCATAGAGCAGTTTGGAAACACTCAGTTTGTAAAGTCAGCAACTGGATATTTGGATGTATTTGAGGCCTTCGTTGGAAACGGGATTTCTTCATATAATGCTAGACAGAAGAATTCTCAGTAACTTCTTTGGGTTGTGGGTATTCAAGTCACAGAGTTGAAGCTTCCTTTAGGCGGAGCAGATTGGAAACACTTTTTGTGGAATTTTCAGGGGGAGACTTCAAGCGCTTTGAAGTGAATGGTAGGAAAGGAAATATCTTCGTATAAAAACTAGACGGAGTCATTCTCAGAAACTACTTTGTGATGTTTGCGTTCAACTCACAGAGTTTAACGTTTCTTTTCATAGAGCAGTTTGGAAACACTCTTTTTGCAGAATCTGCAAGTGGATATTTGGACCTCTTTGTGGCCTTCGTTGGAAACGGGATTTTTCATATAATGCTAGACAGAAGAATTCTCAGTAACTTCTTTTTGTGGTGTGTATTCAACTCACAGAGTTGAACCTTCCTTTAGACAGAGCAGATTTGAAACTCTCTTTTTGTGGAATTTGCAAGTGGAGATTTCAAGCGCTTTGAGGCCAACGGTAGAAAAGGAAATATCTTCGTAGAAAAAATAGACGGAATCATTCTCAGAAACTGCTTTGGGATGTGTGCATTGAACTCACAGTGTTTAACACTTCTTTTCATAGAGCACTTTGGAAACACTCAGTTTGTAATGTCTGCAGCTGGATATTTGGACCTCTTTGAGGCCTTCATAGTAAACGGGATTTCTTCGTGTAATGATAGACAATAGAATTCTCAGTGAATTTTTTTCTGTGTGTGTGTATTCAACTCACAGGGTTGAACCTTCCTTTAGACAGTGCAGATTTGAGACACTTGTCTGTGGAATTTGCAAGGGGAGATTTCAAGCACTTTGAGGCCATTGGTGGAAAAGGAAATATCTTCGTATAAAAACTAGACAGAATCATTCTCAGGAACTACTTTGTGATATGTGCATTCAACTCACAGAGTTTAACCTTTCTTTTCATAGATGAGTTTGGAAACAGTCAGTTTGTAAATGCTGCAACTGGATATTTGGGCCTCTTTGAGGCTTTCGTTGGAAACGGGATTTCTTCACATAATGCTAGACAGAAGAATTCTCAGTAACTTCTTTTGGGATGTATGTATTCAAATCAGAGAGTTGAACCTTCCTTTAGACAGAGCGGATTGGAAACACTCTTTTTGTGGAATTTGCAAGTGGAAAATTCTGGCAGTATAGAGGCCAATGGTACAAAAGGAAATATCTTCGTATAAAAACTAGACAGTATCATTCTCAGAAACTGCTTTGTGATGTGTGTATTAAACTCACAGATTTGAACATTTCTTTGCATAGAGCAGTATGGAAAGACTTAGTTTGTGCAGTGTGCAAGTGGATATTTGGAACTCTTTGAGGCCTTGGTTGGAAACGGGATTTCTTCTTATAATTCTTGACAAAAGAATTCTCAGTAGCTTCTTTGTGTGTGTGTACTCAACTCACAGAGTTGAACCTTCCTTTAGACAGAGCAGATTGGAAACACTCTTTTTGTGGAATTTGCAAGTGGAAAATTCTAGCAGTATGAGGCCAATGGTACAAAAGGAAATATCTTCGTATAAAAACTAGACAGTATCATTCTCAGAAACTACTTTGTGATGTGTGCGTTCAACTCACAGTGTTTACCCTTTCTTTTCATAGAGCAGTTTGGAAACACTCTGTTTGTGAAGTCTGCAAGTGGATATTTAAACGTTCTTTGAGGCCTTCGTTGGAAACGGGATTTCTTCCTATAAACCAGGACAGAAGAATTCTCAGAAACTTCTTCTTTGTTATGTGTGCATTCAACTCACAGAGTTGAACCTTACTTTGGAAAGAGCAGGTTTCTAACACTCTTTTTGTAAAACTTCCAAGTGCATACTTTGAGTGCTTTGAAGCCTACGGTAGACAACGAAATATCTGCATGTAAAAACTACAAAGAATCATTCGCCGAAACCACGTTGTGATCTCTGCATTCAACTCACAGAGTTCAACGTTTCTTCCTATAGAGCAGTTATTAAACACTCTCTTTGTAGAATTTGCAAGGGTGTATTTAGAGGGCATTGAAGCCTACGGTAGAAAAGGAAATATCTGACCATAAAATCTAGTCAGAAGCATTCTCAGAAACTGAGTTGTGATGTTTGCATTCAACTCACAGAGTTCAACATTCCTTTTCATGGAGCGGTTTTGAAACACTCTTTTTGCAGAATCTGCAAGTGGATATTTGGACCTCTTTGAAGTCTTCGTTGGAAATGGGATTTCTTCATATAATGCTAGACAGAAGAATTCTCAGTAACTGCTTTCTCTGGTGTGTATTCAACTCTCAGAGTTGAACTTTCCTTTAGAAACACCAGATTTGAAACTCTCTTTTTGTGGAATTTGCAAGTGGAGATTTCAAAGCTTTGAGGCCAATGGTAGAAAAGGAAATATCTTCGTATGCAAACTAGACAGAATCATTCTCAGAAACTACTTTGGTACGTGTGTGTTCAACTCACAGTGTTTAACCTTTCTTTTCATAGAGCAGTTTGGAAACACTCAGTTTGTAAAGTCAGCAACTGGATATCTGGATGTATTTGAGACCTTCGTTGGAAACGGGATTTCTTCATGTAATGCTAGACAGAAGAATTCTCAGTAACTTCTTTGGGTTGTGGGTATTCAACTCACAGAGCTGAAGCTTCCTTTAGGCGGAGCAGATTGGAAACACTTTTTGTGGAATTTTCAGGGGGAGACTTCAAGCGCTTTGAGGTCAACGGTAGAAAAGGAAATATCTTCGTATAAAAACTAGACGGAGTCATTCTCAGAAACTACTTTGTGATGTTTGCGTTCAACTCACAGAGTTTAACGTTTCTTTTCATAGAGCAGTTTGGAAACACTCTGTTTGTGAAGTCTGCAAGTGGATATTTAAACGTCTTTGAGGCCTTCGTTGGAAACGGGATTTTTTCATATAAACCAGGACAGAAGAATTCTCAGAAACTTCTTGTTTGTTATGTGTGCATTCAACTCACAGAGTTGAACCTTACTTTGGAAAGAGCAGTTTTCTAACACTCTTTTTGTAAAAGTTCCAAGTGAATACTTTGAGTGCTTTGAAGCCTACGGTAGACAACGAAATATCTTCAAGTAAAAACTAGGAAGAATCATTCGCCGAAACCACGTTGTGATCTCTGCATTCAACTCACAGAGTTCAACCTTTCTTCCTGTAGAGCAGTTATTAAACAGTCTCTTTGTAGAATTTGCAAGGGTGTATTTAGAGGGAATTGAAGCCTACGGTAGAAAAGGAAATATCTGACCATAAAATCTAGTCAGAAGCATTCTCAGAAACTGAGTTGTGATGTTTGCATTCAACTCACAGAGTTCAACATTCCTTTTCATAGAGCGGTTTTGAAACACTCTTTTTCCAGAATCTGCAAGTGGATATTTGGACCTCTTTGAGGCCTTCGTTGGAAACGGGATTTCTTCATGTAATCCCAGACAGAAGAACTCTCAGTGAATTCTTTCTGTGTGTGTGTACTCAACTCACAGAGTTGAACGTTCCCTTAGACAGAGTAGATTGGAAACACTCTTTTTGTGGAATGTTCACGTGGAGGTATCAAGCGCTTTGAGGCCCATGATAGAAAAGGAAATACCTTCGTATAATAATTAGATGGAATCATTCTCAGAAACTGCTTTGCAATGTGTGCCTTCAACTCACAGTGTTTAACCTTTCTTTTCATACAGTTGTTTCGAAACACCCTTTTTGCGGAATCTGGAAGTGGATATTTGGACCTCTTTGAAGTCTTCGTTGGAAATGGGATTTCTTCATATAATGCTAGACAGAAGACTTCTCAGTAACTGGTTTTTCTGGTGTGTATTCAACTCTCAGAGTTGAACTTTCCTTTAGAAACAGCAGATATGAAACTCTCTTTTTGTGGAATTTGCAAGTGGAGATTTCAAAGCATTGAGGCCAATGGTAGAAAAGGAAATATCTTCGTATGCCAACTAGACAGAATCATTCTCAGAAACTACTTTGGTACGTGTGTGTTCAACTCACAGTGTTTAACCTTTCCTTTCATAGAGCAGTTTGGAAACACTCAGTTTGTAAAGTCAGCCACTGGATATTTGGATGTATTTGAGGCCTTCGTTGGAAACGGGATTTCTTCATATAATGCTAGACAGAAGAATTCTCAGTAACTTCTTTGTGTTGTGGGTATTCAACTCACAGAGTTGAAGCTTCCTTTAGGCGGAGCAGATTGGAAACACTTTTTGTGGAATTTTCAGGGGGAGACTTCAAGCGCTTTGAGGCCAACGGTAGAAAAGGAAATATCTTCGTATAAAAACTAGACGGAGTCATTCTCAGAAACTACTTTGTGATGTTTGCGTTCAACTCACAGAGTTTAACGTTTCTTTTCATAGAGCAGTTTGGAGACACTCTTTTTGCAGAATCTGCAAGTGGATATTTGGACCTCTTTGTGGCCTTCGTTGGAAACGGGATTTTTCATATAATGCTAGACAGAAGAATTCTCAGTAACTTCTTTTTGTGGTGTGTATTCAACTCACAGAGTTGAACCTTCCTTTAGACAGAGCAGATTTGAAACTCTCTTTTCGTGGAATTTGCAAGTGGAGATTTCAAGCGCTTTGAGGCCAACGGTAGAAAAGGAAATATCTTCGTAGAAAAAATAGACGGAATCATTCTCAGAAACTGCTTTGGGATGTGTGCATTGAACTCACAGTGTTTAACACTTCTTTTCATAGAGCACTTTGGAAACAGTCAGTTTGGAATGTCTGCAGCTGGATATTTGGACCTCTTTGAGGCCTTCGTAGTAAACGGGATTTCTTCGGGTAATGATAGACAATAGAATTCTCAGTGAATTTTTTTCTGTGTGTGTGTATTCAACTCACAGGGTTGAACCTTCCTTCAGACAGTACAGATTTGAAACACTTTTCTGTGGAATTTGCAAGGGGAGATTTCAAGCACTTTGTGGCCATTGGTGGAAAAGGGAATATCTTCGTATAAAAACTAGACAGAGTCATTGTCAGGAACTACTTTGTGATATGTGCATTCAACTCACAGAGTTTAACCTTTCTTTTCATAGATGAGTTTGGAAACAGTCAGTTTGTAAATTCTGCAACTGGATATTTGGACCTCTTTGAGGCTTTCGTTGGAAACGGGATTTCTTCACATAATGCTAGACAGAAGAATTCTCAGTAACTTCTTTTGGGATGTATGTATTCAACTCAGAGAGTTGAACCTTCCTTTAGACAGAGCGGATTGGAAACACGCTTTTTGCGGAATTTTCAGGTGGAGATTCCAAGAGCCTTGAGGCCAATGGTAGAAAAGGCTATCTTCGTATAAAAACTAGAGGGAATCATTCTCAGAAACTGCTTTGTGATGTGTGCATTAAACTCACAGAGTTGAACATTTCTTTGCATAGAGCAGTTTGGAAAGACTTAGTTTGTACAGTGTGCAAGTGGATATTTGGAACTCTTTGAGGCCTTCGTTGGAAACGGGATTTCTTCTTATAATTCTTGACAAAAGAATTCTCAGTAGCTTCTTTGTGTGTGTGTATTCAACTCACAGAGTTGAACCTTCCTTTAGGCAGAGCAGATTGGAAACCCACTTTTTGTGGAATTTGCAAGTGGAGAATTCTAGCGCTTTGACGCCAATGGTAGGAAAGGAAATATCTCCGTATAAAAACTAGACAGTATCATTCTCAGAAACTACTTTGTGATGTGTGCGTTCAACTCACAGAGTTTAACCTTTCTTTTCATAGAGCAGTTTGGAAACACTCTGTTTGTGAAGTCTGCAAGAGGATATTTAAACGTCTTTGAGGCCTTCGTTGGAAACGGGATTTTTCATATAAACCAGGACAGAAGAATTCTCAGAAACTTCTTGTTTGTTATGTGTGCATTCAACTCACAGAGTTGAACCTTACTTCGGAAAGAGCAGTTTTCTAACACTCTTTTTGTAAAAGTTCCAAGTGAATACTTTGAGTGCTTTGAAGCCTACGGTAGACAACGAAATATCTTCATGTAAAAACTGCAAAGAATCATTCGCAGAAACCACGTTGTGATCTCTGCATTCAACTCACAGAGTTCAACCTTTCTTCCTATAGAGCAGTTATTAAACAGTCTCTTTGTAGAATTTGCAAGGGTGTATTTAGAGGGCATTGAGGCCTACGGTAGAAAAGGAAATATCTGACCATAAAATCTAGTCAGAAGCATTCTCAGAAACTGAGTTGTGATGTTTGCATTCAACTCACAGAGTTCAACATTCCTTTTCATAGAGCGGTTTTGAAACACTCTTTTTCCAGAATCTGCAAGTGGATATTTGGACCTCTTTGAGGCCTTCGTTGGAAACGGGATTTCTTCATGTAATCCCAGACAGAAGAACTCTCAGTGAATTCTTTCTGTGTGTGTGTACTCAACTCACAGAGTTGAACGTTCCCTTAGACAGAGTAGATTGGAAACACTCTTTTTGTGGAATGTTCACGTGGAGGTATCAAGCGCTTTGAGGCCCATGATAGAAAAGGAAATACCTTCGTATAATAATTAGATGGAATCATTCTCAGAAACTGCTTTGCAATGTGTGCCTTCAACTCACAGTGTTTAACCTTTCTTTTCATACAGTTGTTTCGAAACACCCTTTTTGCGGAATCTGGAAGTGGATATTTGGACCTCTTTGAAGTCTTCGTTGGAAATGGGATTTCTTCATATAATGCTAGACAGAAGACTTCTCAGTAACTGGTTTTTCTGGTGTGTATTCAACTCTCAGAGTTGAACTTTCCTTTAGAAACAGCAGATATGAAACTCTCTTTTTGTGGAATTTGCAAGTGGAGATTTCAAAGCATTGAGGCCAATGGTAGAAAAGGAAACATCTTCGTATGCCAACTAGACAGAATCATTCTCAGAAACTACTTTGGTACGTGTGTGTTCAACTCACAGTGTTTAACCTTTCCTTTCATAGAGCAGTTTGGAAACACTCAGTTTGTAAAGTCAGCCACTGGATATTTGGATGTATTTGAGGCCTTCGTTGGAAACGGGATTTCTTCATATAATGCTAGACAGAAGAATTCTCAGTAACTTCTTTGTGTTGTGGGTATTCAACTCACAGAGTTGAAGCTTCCTTTAGGCGGAGCAGATTGGAAACACTTTTTGTGGAATTTTCAGGGGGAGACTTCAAGCGCTTTGAGGCCAACGGTAGAAAAGGAAATATCTTCGTATAAAAACTAGACGGAGTCATTCTCAGAAACTACTTTGTGATGTTTGCGTTCAACTCACAGAGTTTAACGTTTCTTTTCATAGAGCAGTTTGGAAACACTCTTTTTGCAGAATCTGCAAGTGGATATTTGGACCTCTTTGTGGCCTTCGTTGGAAACGGGATTTTTCATATAATGCTAGACAGAAGAATTCTCAGTAACTTCTTTTTGTGGTGTGTATTCAACTCACAGAGTGGAACCTTCCTTTAGACAGAGCAGATTTGAAACTCTCTTTTCGTGGAATTTGCAAGTGGAGATTTCAGGCGCTTTGAGGCCAACGGTAGAAAAGGAAATATCTTCGTAGAAAAAATAGACGGAATCATTCTCAGAAACTGCTTTGGGATGTGTGCATTGAACTCACAGTGTTTAACACTTCTTTTCATAGAGCACTTTGGAAACACTCAGTTTGTAATGTCTGCAGCTGGATATTTGGACCTCTTTGAGGCCTTCGTAGTAAACGGGATTTCTTCGTGTAATGATAGACAATAGAATTCTCAGTGAATTTTTTTCTGTGTGTGTGTATTCAACTCACAGGGTTGAACCTTCCTTTAGACAGTGCAGATTTGAAACACTTTTCTGTGGAATTTGCAAGGGGAGATTTCAAGCACTTTGAGGCCATTGGTGGAAAAGGAAATATCTTCGTATAAAAACTAGACAGAATCATTCTCAGGATCTACTTTGTGATATGTGCGTTCAACTCACAGAGTTTAACCTTTCTTTTCATAGATGAGTTTGGAAACAGTCAGTTTCTAAATTCTGCAACTGGATATTTGGACCTCTTTGAGGCTTTCGTTGGAAACGGGATTTCTTCACATAATGCTAGACAGAAGAATTCTCAGTAACTTCTTTTGGGATGTATGTATTCAACTCAGAGAGTTGATCCTTCCTTTAGACATATAGTTTGAAAGCACGCTTTTTGCGGAATTTTCAGGTGGAGATTTCAAGAGCCTTGAGGCCAATGGTAGAAAAGGCTATCTTCGTATAAAAACTAGACGGAATCATTCTCAGAAACTGCTTTGTGATGTGTGTATTAAACTCATAGAGTTGAACATTTCCTTGCCTAGAGCAGTTTGTAAAGACTTAGTTTGTGCAGTGTGCAAGTGGATATTTGGAACTCTTTGAGGCCTTCGTTGGAAACGGGATTTCTTCTTATAATTCTTGACAAAAGAATTCTCAGTAGCTTCTTTGTGTGTGTGTACTCAACTCACAGAGTTGAACCTTCCTTTAGACAGAGCAGATTGGAAACACTCTTTTTGTGGAATTTGCAAGTGGAAAATTCTAGCAGTATGAGGCCAATGGTACAAAAGGGAATATCTTCGTATGAAAACTAGACAGTATCATTCTCAGAAACTACTTTGTGATGTGTGCGTTCAACTCACAGTGTTTAACACTTCTTTTCATAGAGCACTTTGGAAACACTCTGTTTGTAAGGTTTGCAACTGGATATTTGGACCTCTTTGAGGCCTTCGCAGTAAACGGGATTTCTTCGTGTCATGATAGACAGTAGAATTCTCAGTGAATTTTTTTTTTGTGTGTGTATTCAACTCACAGGGTTGAACTTTCCTTTAGACAGTGCAGATTTGAAACTCTTTTTGTGGAATTTGCAAGGGGAGATTTCAAGCACCTTGAGGCCAGTGGTGGAAAAGGAAATATGTTCGTATAAAAACTAGACAGAATCATTCTCAGGAACTACTTTGTGATATGTGCATTCAACTCACAGAGTTTAACCTTTCTTTTCATAGAGGAGTTTGGAAACACTCAGTTTGTAATTCTGCAACTGGATATTTGGACCTCTTTGAGGCTTTCGTTGGAAACGGGATTTCTTCACATAATTCTAGACAGAAGAATTCTAAGTAACTTCTTATGGGTTGTGTGTATTCAACTCAGAGAGTTGAACCTTCCTTTAGACAGAGCAGATTGGAAACCCTCTTTTTGCCGAATTTTCAGGTGGAGATTTCAAGAGCTTTGAGGCCAATGGTAGAAAAGGCTATCTTCGTATAAAAACTAGACGGAATCATTCTCAGAAACTGCTTTGTGATGTGTGCATTAAACTCACAGAGTTGAACATTTCTTTTTCATAGAGCAGTTTGGAAAGACTTAGTTTGTACAGTCTGCAAGTGGATATTTGGAACTCTTTGAGGCCTTCGTTGGAAACGGGATTTCTTATAATTCTTGACAAAAGAATTCTCAGTAGCTTCTTTGTGTGTGTGTATTCAACTCACAGAGTTGAACCTTCCTTTAGACAGAGCAGATTGGAAACACCCTTTTGGTGGAATTTGCAAGTGGAGAATTCTACGATTTGAGGTCAATGGTAGAAAAGGAAATATCTTCGTATAAAAACTAAACAGTATCATTCTCAGAAACTACATTGTGATGTGTGTGTTCAACTCAGAGTTTAACCTTTCTTTTCATAGAGCAGTTTGGAAACACTCTGTTTATGAAGTCTGCAAGTGGATATTTGAACGTCTTTGAGGCCTTCGTTGGAAACGGGATTTCTTCATATAAACCAGGACAGAAGAATTCTCAGAAACTTCTTCTTTGTTATGTGTGCATTCAACTCACAGAGTTGAACCTTACTTTGGAAAGAGCAGTTTTCTAACACTCTTTTTGTAAAACTTCCAAGTGCATACTTTGAGTGCTTTGAAGCCTACGGTAGACAACGAAATATCTGCATGTAAAAACTAGAAAGAATCATTCGCAGAAACCACGTTGTGATCTGTGCATTCAACTCATAGAGTTCAACCTTTCTTTCTATAGAGCAGTTATGAAACACTCTCTTTGTAGAATTTGCAAGGGTGTATTTAGAGGGCATTGAAGCCTACGGTAGAAAAGGAAATATCTGACCATAAAAACTAGACAGAAGCATTCTCAGCAACTGAGTTGTGATGTTTGCGTTCAACTCACAGAGTTCAACATTCCTTTTAATAGAGCGGTTTTGAAACACTCTATTTGCAGAATCTGCAAGTGGATATTTGGACCCTTTGAGGCCTTCGTTGGAAACGGGATTTCTTCATGTAAATGCCAGACAGAAGAATTCTCAGTGAATTCTTTCTGTGTGTGTGTATTCAACTCACTGAGTTGAACGTTCCTTTAGACAGAGTAGATTGGAAACACTCTTTTTGTGGAATTTTCAGGTGGAGGTATCAAGTGCTTTGAGGTCAATGATAGAAAAGGAAATACCTTCGTATAATAATTAGACGGAATCATTCTCAGAAACTGCTTTGCAATGTGTGCGTTCAACTCACAGTGTTTAACCTTTCTTTTCATACAGTTGTTTCGAAACACTCTTTTTGCAGAATCTGCAAGTGGATATTTGGACCTCTTTGAAGTCTTCGTTGGAAATGGGATTTCTTCATATAATGCTAGACAGAAGACTTCTCAGTAACTGCTTTTTCTGGTGTGTATTCAACTCTCAGAGTTGAACTTTCCTTTAGAAACAGCAGAGTTGAAACTCTCTTTTTGTGGAATTTGCAAGTGGAGATTTCAAAGCTTTGAGGCCAATGGTAGAAAAGGAAATATCTTCGTATGCAAACTAGACAGAATCATTCTCAGAAACTACTTTGGTACGTGTGTGTTCAAGTCACAGTGTTTAACCTTTCTTTTCATAGAGCAGTTTGGAAACACTCAGTTTGTAAAGTCAGCAACTGGATATTTGGATGTATTTGAGGCCTTCGTTGGAAACGGGATTTCTTCATATAGTGCTAGACAGAAGAATTCTCAGTAACTTCTTTGGGTTGTGGGTATTCAACTCACAGAGTTGAAGCTTCCTTTAGGCGGAGCAGATTGGAAACACTTTTTGTGGAATTTTCAGGGGGAGACTTCAAGCGCTTTGAAGTGAATGGTAGAAAAGGAAATATCTTCGTATAAAAACTAGACGGAGTCATTCTCAGAAACTACTTTGTGATGTTTGCGTTCAACTCACAGAGTTTAACGTTTCTTTTCATAGAGCAGTTTGGAAACACTCTTTTTGCAGAATCTGCAAGTGGATATTTGGACCTCTTTGTGGCCTTCGTTGGAAACGGGATTTTTCATATAATGCTAGACAGAAGAATTCTCAGTAACTTCTTTTTGTGGTGTGTATTCAACTCACAGAGTTGAACCTTCCTTTAGACAGAGCAGATTTGAAACTCTCTTTTTGTGGAATTTGCAAGTGGAGATTTCAAGCGCTTTGAGGCCAACGGTAGAAAAGGAAATATCTTCGTAGAAAAAATAGACGGAATCATTCTCAGAAACTGCTTTGGGATGTGTGCATTGAACTCACAGTGCTTAACACTTCTTTTCATAGAGCACTTTGGAAACACTCAGTTTGTAATGTCTGCAGCTGGATATTTGGACCTCTTTGAGGCCTTCGTAGTAAACGGGATTTCTTCGTGTAATGATAGACAATAGAATTCTCAGTGAATTTGTTTCTGTGTGTGTGTATTCAACTCACAGGGTTGAACCTTCCTTTAGACAGTGCAGATTTGAAACACTTGTCTGTGGAATTTGCAAGGGGAGATTGCAAGCACTTTGAGGCCATTGGTGGAAAAGGAAATATCTTCGTATAAAAACTAGACAGAATCATTCTCAGGAACTACTTTGTGATATGTGCATTCAACTCCCAGAGTTTAACCTTTCTTTTCATAGATGAGTTTGGAAACAGTCAGTTTGTAAATTCTGCAACTGGATATTTGGACCTCTTTGAGGCTTTCGTTGGAAACGGGATTTCTTCACATAATGCTAGACAGAAGAATTCTCAGTAACTTCTTTTGGGATGTATGTATTCAAATCAGAGAGTTGAACCTTCCTTTAGACAGAGCGGATTGGAAACACTCTTTTTGTGGAATTTGCAAGTGGAAAATTCTAGCAGTATGAGGCCAATGGTACAAAAGGAAATATCTTCGTATAAAAACTAGACAGTATCATTCTCAGAAACTGCTTTGTGATGTGTGTATTAAACTCACAGAGTTGAACATTTCTTTGCATAGAGCAGTTTGGAAAGACTTAGTTTGTGCAGTGTGCAAGTGGATATTTGGAACTCTTTGAGGCCTTCGTTGGAAACGGGATTTCTTCTTATAATTCTTGACAAAAGAATTCTCAGTAGCTTCTTTGTGTGTGTGTATTCAACTCACAGAGTTGAACCTTCCTTTAGACAGAGCAGATTGGAAACACTCTTTTTGTGGAATTTGCAAGTGGAGAATTCTAGCGCTTTGACACCAATGGTAGAAAGGAAATATCTTCGTATAAAAACTAGACAGTATCATTCTCAGAAGCTACTTTGTGATGTGTGCGTTCAACTCACAGAGTTTAACCTTTCTTTTCATAGAGCAGTTTGGAAACACTCTGTTTGTGAAGTCTGCAAGTGGATATTTAAACGTCTTTGAGGCCTTCGTTGGAAACGGGATTTTTTCATATAAACCAGGACAGAAGAATTCTCAGAAACTTCTTGATTGTTATGTGTGCATTCAACTCACAGAGTTGAACCTTACTTTGGAAAGAGCAGTTTTCTAACACTCTTTTTGTAAAAGTTCCAAGTGAATACTTTGAGTGCTTTGAAGCCTACGGTTGACAACGAAATATCTTCCTGTAAAAACTACAAAGAATCATTCGCAGAAACCACGTTGTGATCTCTGCATTCAACTCACAGAGTTCAACCTTTCTTCCTATAGAGCAGTTATGAAACAGTCTCTTTGTAGAATTTGCAAGGGTGTATTTAGAGGGCATTGAAGCCTACGGTAGAAAAGGAAATATCTTACCATAAAATCTAGTCAGAAGCATTCTCAGCAACTGAGTTGTGATGTTTGCATTCAACTCACAGAGTTCAACATTCCTTTTAATGGAGCGGTTTTGAAACACTCTTTTTGCAGAATCTGCAAGTGGATATTTGGACCTCTTTGAGGCCTTCGTTGGAAACGGGATTTCTTCATGTAATGCCAGACAGAAGAATTCTCAGTGAATTCTTTCTGTGTGTGTGTATTCAACTCACAGAGTTGAACGTTCCTTTAGACAGAGTAGATTGGAAACACTCTTTTTGTGGAATTTTCAGGTGGAGGTATCAAGCGCTTTGAGGCCAATGATAGAAAAGGAAATACCTTCGTATAATAATTAGACGGAATCATTCTCAGAAACTGCTTTGCAATGTGTGCGTTCAACTCACAGTGTTTAACCTTTCTTTTCATACAGTTGTTTCGAAACACTCTTTTTGCAGAATCTGCAAGTGGATATTTGGACCTCTTTGAAGTCTTCGTTGGAAATGGGATTTCTTCATATAATGCTAGACAGAAGACTTCTCAGTAACTGCTTTTTCTGGTGTGTATTCAACTCTCAGAGTTGAACTTTCCTTTAGAAACAGCAGAGTTGAAACTCTCTTTTTGTGGAATTTGCAAGTGGAGATTTCAAAGCTTTGAGGCCAATGGTAGAAAAGGAAATATCTTCGTATGCAAACTAGACAGAATCATTCTCAGAAACTACTTTGGTACGTGTGTGTTCAACTCACAGTGTTTAACCTTTCTTTTCATAGAGCAGTTTGGAAACACTCAGTTTGTAAAGTCAGCAACTGGATATTTGGATGTATTTGAGGCCTTCGTTGGAAACGGGATTTCTTCATATAGTGCTAGACAGAAGAATTCTCAGTAACTTCTTTGGGTTGTGGGTATTCAACTCACAGAGTTGAAGCTTCCTTTAGGCGGAGCAGATTGGAAACACTTTTTGTGGAATTTTCAGGGGGAGACTTCAAGCGCTTTGAAGTGAATGGTAGAAAAGGAAATATCTTCGTATAAAAACTAGACGGAGTCATTCTCAGAAACTACTTTGTGATGTTTGCGTTCAACTCACAGAGTTTAACGTTTCTTTTCATAGAGCAGTTTGGAAACACTCTTTTTGCAGAATCTGCAAGTGGATATTTGGACCTCTTTGTGGCCTTCGTTGGAAACGGGATTTTTCATATAATGCTAGACAGAAGAATTCTCAGTAACTTCTTTTTGTGGTGTGTATTCAACTCACAGAGTTGAACCTTCCTTTAGACAGAGCAGATTTGAAACTCTCTTTTTGTGGAATTTGCAAGTGGAGATTTCAAGCGCTTTGAGGCCAACGGTAGAAAAGGAAATATCTTCGTAGAAAAAATAGACGGAATCATTCTCAGAAACTGCTTTGGGATGTGTGCATTGAACTCACAGTGTTTAACACTTCTTTTCATAGAGCACTTTGGAAACACTCAGTTTGTAATGTCTGCAGCTGGATATTTGGACCTCTATGAGGCCTTCGTAGTAAACGGGATTTCTTCGTGTAATGATAGACAATAGAATTCTCAGTGAATTTTTTTCTGTGTGTGTGTATTCAACTCACAGGGTTGAACCTTCCTTTAGACAGTGCAGATTTGAGACACTTGTCTGTGGAATTTGCAAGGGGAGATTTAAAGCACTTTGAGGCCATTGGTGGAAAAGGAAATATCTTCGTATAAAAACTAGACAGAATCATTCTCAGGAACTACTTTGTGATATGTGCATTCAACTCACAGAGTTTAACCTTACTTTTCATAGATGAGTTTGGAAACAGTCAGTTTGTAAATTCTGCAACTGGATATTTGGACCTCTTTGAGGCTTTCGTTGGAAACGGGATTTCTTCACATAATGCTAGACAGAAGAATTCTCAGTAACTTCTTTTGGGATGTATGTATTCAAATCAGAGAGTTGAACCTTCCTTTAGACAGAGCGGATTGGAAACACTCTTTTTGTGGAATTTGCAAGTGGAAAATTCTAGCAGTATGAGGCCAATGGTACAAAAGGAAATATCTTCGTATAAAAACTAGACAGTATCATTCTCAGAAACTGCTTTGTGATGTGTGTATTAAACTCACAGAGTTTAACCTTTCTTTTCATAGAGCAGTTTGGAAACCCTCTGTTTGTGAAGTCTGCAAGTGGATATTTAAACGTCTTTGAGGCCTTCGTTGGAAACGGGATTTTTTCATATAAACCAGGACAGAAGAATTCTCAGAAACTTCTTGATTGTTATGTGTGCATTCAACTCACAGAGTTGAACCTTACTTTGGAAAGAGCAGTTTTCTAACACTCTTTTTGTAAAAGTTCCAAGTGAATACTTTGAGTGCTTTGAAGCCTACGGTTGACAACGAAATATCTTCATGTAAAAACTACAAAGAATCATTCGCAGAAACCACGTTGTGATCTCTGCATTCAACTCACAGTGTTGAACCTTTCTTCCTATAGAGCAGTTATGAAACAGTCTCTTTGTAGAATTTGCAAGGGTGTATTTAGAGGGCATTGAAGCCTACGGTAGAAAAGGAAATATCTTACCATAAAATCTAGTCAGAAGCATTCTCAGAAACTGAGTTGTGATGTTTGCATTCAACTCACAGAGTTCAACATTCCTTTTAATGGAGCGGTTTTGAAACACTCTTTTTGCAGAATCTGCAAGTGGATATTTGGACCTCTTTGAGGCCTTCGTTGGAAACGGGATTTCTTCATGTAATGCCAGACAGAAGAATTCTCAGTGAATTCTTTCTGTGTGTGTGTATTCAACTCACAGAGTTGAACGTTCCTTTAGACAGAGTAGATTGGAAACACTCTTTTTGTGGAATTTTCAGGTGGAGGTATCAAGCGCTTTGAGGCCAATGATAGAAAAGGAAATACCTTCGTATAATAATTAGACGGAATCATTCTCAGAAACTGCTTTGCAATGTGTGCGTTCAACTCACAGTGTTTAACCTTTCTTTTCATACAGTTGTTTCGAAACACTCTTTTTGCAGAATCTGCAAGTGGATATTTGGACCTCTTTGAAGTCTTCGTTGGAAATGGGATTTCTTCATATAATGCTAGACAGAAGACTTCTCAGTAACTGCTTTTTCTGGTGTGTATTCAACTCTCAGAGTTGAACTTTCCTTTAGAAACAGCAGATTTGAAACTCTCTTTTTGTGGAATTTGCAAGTGGAGTTTTCAGAGCTTTGAGGACAATGGTAGAAAAGGAAATATCTTCGTATGCAAACTAGACAGAATCATTCTCAGAAACTACTTTGGTACGTGTGTGTTCAACTCACAGTGTTTAACCTTTCTTTTCATAGAGCAGTTTGGAAACACTCAGTTTGTAAAGTCAGCAACTGGATATTTGGATGTATTTGAGGCCTTCGTTGGAAACGGGATTTCTTCATATAATGCTAGACAGAAGAATTCTCAGTAACTTCTTTGGGTTGTGGGTATTCAAGTCACAGAGTTGAAGCTTCCTTTAGGCGGAGCAGATTGGAAACACTTTTTGTGGAATTTTCAGGGGGAGACTTCAAGCGCTTTGAAGTGAATGGTAGGAAAGGAAATATCTTCGTATAAAAACTAGACGGAGTCATTCTCAGAAACTACTTTGTGATGTTTGCGTTCAACTCACAGAGTTTAACGTTTCTTTTCATAGAGCAGTTTGGAAACACTCTTTTTGCAGAATCTGCAAGTGGATATTTGGACCTCTTTGTGGCCTTCGTTGGAAACGGGATTTTTCATATAATGCTAGACAGAAGAATTCTCAGTAACTTCTTTTTGTGGTGTGTATTCAACTCACAGAGTTGAACCTTCCTTTAGACAGAGCAGATTTGAAACTCTCTTTTTGTGGAATTTGCAAGTGGAGATTTCAAGCGCTTTGAGGCCAACGGCAGAAAAGGAAATATCTTCGTAGAAAAAATAGACGGAATCATTCTCAGAAACTGCTTTGGGATGTGTGCATTGAACTCACAGTGTTTAACACTTCTTTTCATAGAGCACTTTGGAAACACTCAGTTTGTAATGTCTGCAGCTGGATATTTGGACCTCTTTGAGGCCTTCGTAGTAAACGGGATTTCTTCGTGTAATGATAGACAATAGAATTCTCAGTGAATTTTTTTCTGTGTGTGTGTATTCAACTCACAGGGTTGAACCTTCCTTTAGACAGTGCAGATTTGAAACACTTGTCTGTGGAATTTGCAAGGGGAGATTTCAAGCACTTTGAGGCCATTGGTGGAAAAGGAAATATCTTCGTATGAAAACTAGACAGAATCATTCTCAGGAACTACTTTGTGATATGTGCATTCAACTCACAGAGTTTAACCTTTCTTTTCATAGATGAGTTTGGAAACAGTCAGTTTGTAAATTCTGCAACTGGATATTTGGACCTCTTTGAGGCTTTCGTTGGAAACGGGATTTCTTCACATAATGCTAGACAGAAGAATTCTCAGTAACTTCTTTTGGGATGTATGTATTCAAATCAGAGAGTTGAACCTTCCTTTAGACAGAGCGGATTGGAAACACTCTTTTTGTGGAATTTGCAAGTGGAAAATTCTAGCAGTATGAGGCCAATGGTACAAAAGGAAATATTCTTCGTATAAAAACTAGACAGTAATCATTCTCAGAAACTGCTTTGTGATGTGTGTATTAAACTCACAGAGTTGAACATTTCTTTGCATAGAGCAGTTTGGAAAGACTTAGTTTGTGCAGTGTGCAAGTGGATATTTGGAACTCTTTGAGGCCTTCGTTGGAAACGGGATTTCTTCTTATAATTCTTGACAAAAGAATTCTCAGTAGCTTCTTTGTGTGTGTGTATTCAACTCACAGAGTTGAACCTTCCTTTAGACAGAGCAGATTGGAAACACTCTTTTTGTGGAATTTGCAAGTGGAGAATTCTAGCGCTTTGACGCCAATGGTAGAAAGGAAATATCTTCGTATAAAAACTAGACAGTATCATTCTCAGAAGCTACTTTGTGATGTGTGCGTTCAACTCACAGAGTTTAACCTTTCTTTTCATAGAGCAGTTTGGAAACCCTCTGTTTGTGAAGTCTGCAAGTGGATATTTAAACGTCTTTGAGGCCTTCGTTGGAAACGGGATTTCTTCATATAAACCAGGACAGAAGAATTCTCAGAAACTTCTTGATTGTTATGGGTGCATTCAACTCACAGAGTTGAACCTTACTTTGGAAAGAGCGGTTTTCTAACACTCTTTTTGTAAAAGTTCCAAGTGAATACTTTGAGTGCTTTGAAGCCTACGGTTGACAACGAAATATCTTCATGTAAAAACTACAAAGAATCATTCGCAGAAACCACGTTGTGATCTCTGCATTCAACTCACAGAGTTGAACCTTTCTTCCTATAGAGCAGTTATGAAACAGTCTCTTTGTAGAATTTGCAAGGGTGTATTTAGAGGGCATTGAAGCCTACGGTAGAAAAGGAAATATCTTACCATAAAATCTAGTCAGAAGCATTCTCAGCAACTGAGTTGTGATGTTTGCATTCAACTCACAGAGTTCAACATTCCTTTTAATGGAGCGGTTTTGAAACACTCTTTTTGCAGAATCTGCAAGTGGATATTTGGACCTCTTTGAGGCCTTCGTTGGAAACGGGATTTCTTCATGTAATGCCAGACAGAAGAATTCTCAGTGAATTCTTTCTGTGTGTGTGTATTCAACTCACAGAGTTGAACGTTCCTTTAGACAGAGTAGATTGGAAACACTCTTTTTGTGGAATTTTCAGGTGGAGGTATCAAGCGCTTTGAGGCCAATGATAGAAAAGGAAATACCTTCGTATAATAATTAGACGGAATCATTCTCAGAAACTGCTTTGCAATGTGTGCGTTCAACTCACAGTGTTTAACCTTTCTTTTCATACAGTTGTTTCGAAACACTCTTTTTGCAGAATCTGCAAGTGGATATTTGGACCTCTTTGAAGTCTTCGTTGGAAATGGGATTTCTTCATATAATGCTAGACAGAAGACTTCTCAGTAACTGCTTTTTCTGGTGTGTATTCAACTCTCAGAGTTGAACTTTCCTTTAGAAACAGCAGATTTGAAACTCTCTTTTTGTGGAATTTGCAAGTGGAGATTTCAGAGCTTTGAGGCCAATGGTAGAAAAGGAAATATCTTCGTATGCAAACTAGACAGAATCATTCTCAGAAACTACTTTGGTACGTGTGTGTTCAACTCACAGTGTTTAACCTTTCTTTTCATAGAGCAGTTTGGAAACACTCAGTTTGTAAAGTCAGCAACTGGATATTTGGATGTATTTGAGGCCTTCGTTGGAAACGGGATTTCTTCATATAATGCTAGACAGAAGAATTCTCAGTAACTTCTTTGGGTTGTGGGTATTCAAGTCACAGAGTTGAAGCTTCCTTTAGGCGGAGCAGATTGGAAACACTTTTTGTGGAATTTTCAGGGGGAGACTTCAAGCGCTTTGAAGTGAATGGTAGGAAAGGAAATATCTTCGTATAAAAACTAGACGGAGTCATTCTCAGAAACTACTTTGTGATGTTTGCGTTCAACTCACAGAGTTTAACGTTTCTTTTCATAGAGCAGTTTGGAAACACTCTTTTTGCAGAATCTGCAAGTGGATATTTGGACCTCTTTGGGGCCTTCGTTGGAAACGGGATTTTTCATATAATGCTAGACAGAAGAATTCTCAGTAACTTCTTTTTGTGGTGTGTATTCAACTCACAGAGTTGAACCTTCCTTTAGACAGAGCAGATTTGAAACTCTCTTTTTGTGGAATTTGCAAGTGGAGATTTCAAGCGCTTTGAGGCCAACGGCAGAAAAGGAAATATCTTCGTAGAAAAAATAGACGGAATCATTCTCAGAAACTGCTTTGGGATGTGTGCATTGAACTCACAGTGTTTAACACTTCTTTTCATAGAGCACTTTGGAAACACTCAGTTTATAATGTCTGCAGCTGGATATTTGGACCTCTTTGAGGCCTTCGTAGTAAACGGGATTTCTTCGTGTAATGATAGACAATAGAATTCTCAGTGAATTTTTTTCTGTGTGTGTGTATTCAACTCACAGGGTTGAACCATCCTTTAGACAGTGCAGATTTGAAACACTTGTCTGTGGAATTTGCAAGGGGAGATTTCAAGCACTTTGAGGCCATTGGTGGAAAAGGAAATATCTTCGTATGAAAACTATACAGAATCATTCTCAGGAACTACTTTGTGATATGGGCATTCAACTCCCAGAGTTTAACCTTTCTTTTCATAGATGAGTTTGGAAACAGTCAGTTTGTAAATTCTGCAACTGGATATTTGGACCTCTTTGAGGCTTTCGTTGGAAACGGGATTTCTTCACATAATGCTAGACAGAAGAATTCTCAGTAACTTCTTTTGGGATGTATGTATTCAAATCAGAGAGTTGAACCTTCCTTTAGACAGAGCGGATTGGAAACACTCTTTTTGTGGAATTTGCAAGTGGAAAATTCTAGCAGTATGAGGCCAATGGTACAAAAGGAAATATCTTCGTATAAAAACTAGACAGTATCATTCTCAGAAACTGCTTTGTGATGTGTGAATTAAACTCACAGAGTTGAACATTTCTTTGCATAGAGCAGTTTGGAAAGACTTAGTTTTTGCAGTGTGCAAGTGGATATTTGGAACTCTTTGAGGCCTTCGTTGGAAACGGGATTTCTTCTTATAATTCTTGACAAAAGAATTCTCAGTAGCTTCTTTGTGTGTGTGTATTCAACTCACAGAGTTGAACCTTCCTTTAGACAGAGCAGATTGGAAACACTCTTTTTGTGGAATTTGCAAGTGGAGAATTCTAACGCTTTGACGCCAATGGTAGAAAGGAAATATCTTCGTATAAAAACTAGACAGTATCATTCTCAGAAACTACTTTGTGATGTGTGCGTTCAACTCACAGAGTTTAACCTTTCTTTTCATAGAGCAGTTTGGAAACACTCTGTTTGTGAAGTCTGCAAGTGGATATTTAAACGTCTTTGAGGCCTTCGTTGGAAACGGGATTTCTTCATATAAACCAGGACAGAAGAATTCTCAGAAACTTCTTGATTGTTATGGGTGCATTCAACTCACAGATTTGAACCTTACTTTGGAAAGAGCAGTTTTCTAACACTCTTTTTGTAAAAGTTCCAAGTGAATACTTTGAGTGCTTTGAAGCCTACGGTTGACAACGAAATATCTTCATGTAAAAACTACAAAGAATCATTCGCAGAAACCACGTTGTGATCTCTGCATTCAACTCACAGAGTTGAACCTTTCTTCCTATAGAGCAGTTATGAAACAGTCTCTTTGTAGAATTTGCAAGGGTGTATTTAGAGGGCATTGAAGCCTACGGTAGAAAAGGAAATATCTTACCATAAAATCTAGTCAGAAGCATTCTCAGAAACTGAGTTGTGATGTTTGCATTCAACTCACAGAGTTCAACATTCCTTTTAATGGAGCGGTTTTGAAACACTCTTTTTGCAGAATCTGCAAGTGGATATTTGGACCTCTTTGAGGCCTTCGTTGGAAACGGGATTTCTTCATGTAATGCCAGACAGAAGAATTCTCAGTGAATTCTTTCTGTGTGTGTGTATTCAACTCACAGAGTTGAACGTTCCTTTAGACAGAGTAGATTGGAAACACTCTTTTTGTGGAATTTTCAGGTGGAGGTATCAAGCGCTTTGAGGCCAATGATAGAAAAGGAAATACCTTCGTATAATAATTAGACGGAATCATTCTCAGAAACCGCTTTGCAATGTGTGCGTTCAACTCACAGTGTTTAACCTTTCTTTTCATACAGTTGTTTCGAAACACTCTTTTTGCAGAATCTGCAAGTGGATATTTGGACCTCTTTGAAGTCTTCGTTGGAAATGGGATTTCTTCATATAATGCTAGACAGAAGACTTCTCAGTAACTGCTTTTTCTGGTGTGTATTCAACTCTCAGAGTTGAACTTTCCTTTAGAAACAGCAGATTTGAAACTCTCTTTTTGTGGAATTTGCAAGTGGAGATTTCAGAGCTTTGAGGCCAATGGTAGAAAAGGAAATATCTTCGTATGCAAACTAGACAGAATCATTCTCAGAAACTACTTTGGTACGTGTGTGTTCAACTCACAGTGTTTAACCTTTCTTTTCATAGAGCAGTTTGGAAACACTCAGTTTGTAAAGTCAGCAACTGGATATTTGGATGTATTTGAGGCCTTCGTTGGAAACGGGATTTCTTCATATAATGCTAGACAGAAGAATTCTCAGTAACTTCTTTGGGTTGTGGGTATTCAAGTCACAGAGTTGAAGCTTCCTTTAGGCGGAGCAGATTGGAAACACTTTTTGTGGAATTTTCAGGGGGAGACTTCAAGCGCTTTGAAGTGAATGGTAGGAAAGGAAATATCTTCGTATAAAAACTAGACGGAGTCATTCTCAGAAACTACTTTGTGATGTTTGCGTTCAACTCACAGAGTTTAACGTTTCTTTTCATAGAGCAGTTTGGAAACACTCTTTTTGCAGAATCTGCAAGTGGATATTTGGACCTCTTTGTGGCCTTCGTTGGAAACGGGATTTTTCATATAATGCTAGACAGAAGAATTCTCAGTAACTTCTTTTTGTGGTGTGTATTCAACTCACAGAGTTGAACCTTCCTTTAGACAGAGCAGATTTGAAACTCTCTTTTTGTGGAATTTGCAAGTGGAGATTTCAAGCGCTTTGAGGCCAACGGCAGAAAAGGAAATATCTTCGTAGAAAAAATAGACGGAATCATTCTCAGAAACTGCTTTGGGATGTGTGCATTGAACTCACAGTGTTTAACACTTCTTTTCATAGAGCACTTTGGAAACACTCAGTTTGTAATGTCTGCAGCTGGATATTTGGACCTCTTTGAGGCCTTCGTAGTAAACGGGATTTCTTCGTGTAATGATAGACAATAGAATTCTCAGTGAATTTGTTTCTGTGTGTGTGTATTCAACTCACAGGGTTGAACCTTCCTTTAGACAGTGCAGATTTGAAACACTTGTCTGTGGAATTTGCAAGGGGAGATTTCAAGCACTTTGAGGCCATTGGTGGAAAAGGAAATATCTTCGTATAAAAACTAGACAGAATCATTCTCAGGAACTACTTTGTGATATGTGCATTCAACTCACAGAGTTTAACCTTTCTTTTCATAGATGAGTTTGGAAACAGTCAGTTTGTAAATTCTGCAACTGGATATTTGGACCTCTTGGAGGCTTTCGTTGGAAACGGGATTTCTTCACATAATGCTAGACAGAAGAATTCTCAGTAACTTCTTTTGGGATGTATGTATTCAAATCAGAGAGTTGAACCTTCCTTTAGACAGAGCGGATTGGAAACACTCTTTTTGTGGAATTTGCAAGTGGAAAATTCTAGCAGTATGAGGCCAATGGTACAAAAGGAAATATCTTCGTATAAAAACTAGACAGTATCATTCTCAGAAACTGCTTTGTGATGTGTGTATTAAACTCACCGAGTTGAACATTTCTTTGCATAGAGCAGTTTGGAAAGACTTAGTTTGTGCAGTGTGCAAGTGGATATTTGGAACTCTTTGAGGCCTTCGTTGGAAACGGGATTTCTTCTTATAATTCTTGACAAAAGAATTCTCAGTAGCTTCTTTGTGTGTGTGTATTCAACTCACAGAGTTGAACCTTCCTTTAGACAGAGCAGATTGGAAACACTCTTTTTGTGGAAATTGCAAGTGGAGAATTCTAGCGCTTTGACGCCAATGGTAGAAAGGAAATATCTTCGTATAAAAACTAGACAGTATCATTCTCAGAAGCTACTTTGTGATGTGTGCGTTCAACTCACAGAGTTTAACCTTTCTTTTCATAGAGCAGTTTGGAAACCCTCTGTTTGTGAAGTCTGCAAGTGGATATTTAAACGTCTTTGAGGCCTTCGTTGGAAACGGGATTTTTTCATATAAACCAGGACAGAAGAATTCTCAGAAACGTCTTGATTGTTATGTGTGCATTCAACTCACAGAGTTGAACCTTACTTTGGAAAGAGCAGTTTTCTAATACTCTTTTTGTAAAAGTTCCAAGTGAATACTTTGAGTGCTTTGAAGCCTACGGTTGACAACGAAATATCTTCATGTAAAAACTACAAAGAATCATTCGCAGAAACCACGTTGTGATCTCTGCATTCAACTCACAGAGTTCAACCTTTCTTCCTATAGAGCAGTTATGAAACAGTCTCTTTGTAGAATTTGCAAGGGTGTATTTAGAGGGCATTGAAGCCTACGGCAGAAAAGGAAATATCTTACCATAAAATCTAGTCAGAAGCATTCTCAGCAACTGAGTTGTGATGTTTGCATTCAACTCACAGAGTTCAACATTCCTTTTAATGGAGCGGTTTTGAAACACTCTTTTTGCAGAATCTGCAAGTGGATATTTGGACCTCTTTGAGGTCTTCGTTGGAAACGGGATTTCTTCATGTAATGCCAGACAGAAGAATTCTCAGTGAATTCTTTCTGTGTGTGTGTATTCAACTCACAGAGTTGAACGTTCCTTTAGACAGAGTAGATTGGAAACACTCTTTTTGTGGAATTTTCAGGTGGAGGTATCAAGCGCTTTGAGGCCAATGATAGAAAAGGAAATACCTTCGTATAATAATTAGACGGAATCATTCTCAGAAACCGCTTTGCAATGTGTGCGTTCAACTCACAGTGTTTAACCTTTCTTTTCATACAGTTGTTTCGAAATACTCTTTTTGCAGAATCTGCAAGTGGATATTTGGCACCAGTTTCACTCAGTTACTCCCCGGTCTCGCTCATGTCTTCACCCCCAGCCCTCAGGGACTCTCCTGTGTGTCCCAGCTACTCTCCAACCATGCCCAGATTTCAGCGGGGGTCAGTTCCAGGCACCCAGGTATCACCAACCAACTCAGCAAATTCACTGAGTTACTCCCCAGTCTCTCTCATGTCGTCACCCCCAGCCCCCTGGGACTCTCCTGTCTGTCCCAGCTACTCTCCCACCACGCCCAGATTTCAGCGGGAGTCAGCCTCCCACACTCCGGAATCACCTACAGACTCACAGACTTCACTGAGGGCCTCCCTGGTCTCTCTCAGGTCTTTGCCCTCAGCCCACAGGGACTCTTGGGTCTCCTTCAGCTA